>NT_187578.1:0-219541 GCF_000001405.40 Homo sapiens | reverse complement strand
GCCAGCACATAAAAGACACCAAGGAAAGTAGCACTGCAGATAGTGACTGGGTTGTTGAATGCAAGTTAAGGATGTTAGAGTCCCTTTATTAACTATGGCTAAGAGAATGCAAGAGGGATGGCAGAGGGAGACTTATTAGGTGCCACTATCCTTTAGGACAGAATTAGAATTGATATGGTTTGGCTGTGTCCCCACCCAAATCTCATCCTGAATTGTAGCTTCCATAATTCCCATGTGTTGTAGGAGGGATCTGGTGGGACGTAATTGAATCATAGGGGCAGGTCTTTCCCATGCTATTCTTATGATAGTGAATAAGTCTCAGGAGATCTTATGGTTTTACAAAGGGGAATTTCCCTACACAAGCTCTCTTACCTGCCACTGTGTAAGACTTTGCTCCTCCTTTGCCTTTGATTTTGAGACCTCTCCAGCCATGTGGAACTGTGAGTCAATTAAACCTCTTTCCTTTATAAATTACTCAGTCTCAGATATGTCTTTATCAGCAGTGTGAGAACAGACTAATACAAGAATGATGCAAGAGCTGGCTTCAATCTAGATTTTGTATTTTTGAGATGAGCAGGGAGGAGAGGTAGATAGAAGCTCTTGTTTGAATCTGGGATTCTCTGAAGTGGCTTAAAAGGGACATTTGTTATGTTATTAAAGTCAGAGGGACCAAAGTGCCCTTTCAGAACTCCTGTCCTGTCACTGATTCCTCTCCATTGCCCTTTGATGTCTGCACTAGTTCTCATCTCCAGGGCCACAGTGGTTTCTAATGACTCAAGAGATGAGGATCATTAATTAAGCAGGGAGGAAAGAAGCCAAGGATCAATTCCAGAGTAACAAATTGCAGGAGAAGAAAGGAAATGCCCTGAGAGACTAGAATTCTGAAAAAGCTGTACAGGAAAGTATTTTTGGAGGTGGTGGTTCCAGTATATTAGACAGCCCTTTATGGTCTTGCCTGCAGGGATGTATGTCACAAGCTGTTCTGAGCAGTGGGGAGGCTGTGATACTGTTGTTCTGCCAAGCAAGGCTGCATTTTCCAATTTAAAGCTAAGCTGCCCAGGAGCCAAGCTGTTTGTTTTTCAGAAGGGGAGACAGGAAGAGAAAGTGTGTGTGTGTGTGTGTGTATGTGTGTGTGTGTGAGAGAGAGAGAGAAAGACACACACACACACACACACACACACACACACACACACACACCGAGAGACATAAAGACAGAGACAGCAATCCAGGAGTTGAAATACCAAATCTATCTGCATGTCTACTCTCTGGAACAGTGTTTTTTTTTTTTTTTTCAATAGATCTTCTGGCACCCTCAGAAATCACTGCCAGGAAGTCCCTATGCCCTAGCGACAGGGTAACTAATTAGCTCTGTTAGACCTTGTTGGAATCTCACAGGAGACAGGAAAAAGAAGTGAGAGAAATTCTCTTTTACCACAGGAGATTTCATAGCAGAACTGAGACAATGCTGGGGTTGGCCATGGTTTGCCTGCACTGCTACGCAGTCAGGGGAGCACTGTGTGCATAGTGGGGCTAAACCAACTTTAGAATTTTAAATGAGTATGATCTGAAATTTTTGCTCATTAATCTCCTTGACAAACATTTATTAATGACTTACTAGTCCACACCAGGCTTTACTGAGGCCATTGCTTTATATTTTAAGATTTACATTTAACACTATAATATTTCTGGAGTTAATTTTTGTATGATATAGAGACATACTGACCATTCTTTTTAATACTGCAAACTGCTTTCCTTATCTAAAATTCCTGATACTTACTCTGTATCTTCTCTTTCATCGATGTCACTTATCATTGGACAAATTGTCTTTCTTTAATGTCTGAATTACTAATTGTCTTTCTTTAATGTCTGAATGTATTACTAAGTTTCACAACTTCTTGCCTATTTTGTTCAACAGTTGTACACTAAGTGTCTTTTGGAAAGATGATATTAAACAAGTCATTACAAGTGGGATAAAAACGATGTCTCCCCAGAGCCTATAATGCGGTATTTAACATAGGCTAGGGGGCCAGGAAACTGTCCCATGAAAAACTGATCTTTGGATGTATAGGAATTAAGTGAGGGTGAGAAATATATTCCTGTCAAAGGGAATCCTATATAGGAAGTTCCTGAAGTGAAAAAAAACCACGGCCATATGGTTGAAACATAAAGGGCCCAGGCAATGTGGACGTGCAGTGATGCTGGAGAAGAGGCAGGGCCTGGGATGCAGGAACAAGTAGGTCTTGCTATAAAGTTTGGAATTAATTCTAAGAATAGTAAATTATAGAAAGGTTTTAAGGAAGAAAACTTCCATGATCTGATTTGCTTTTATTAAAGATTGTTCATTTGGCAGAGAGTGAGAGAAGAATGAATATGGTAAAGTGGCCGAAGACTCCTATGATCATCTAGACAAAAGGAGATGGTGGCTTAAGAATTTGGCATTTCAGACAGGCAGGAGAGTGAATTCAAAATTATTAAAATAGCAAATAGATAAGATTTAATAATTGATTAAAGTGAGAGTCATGGGGATGTCAAAATGCTTTTCCTTATTTATTTAAATCCCTCACACTAAAACAGTCATCTTTTCTGTTTTGTCTCCAGTGGTGATGAACAGATGACAAAGAACTTTCTGCTTACTCTATTGTTAAATCACCTGCAGCCTCCTCTTCTGTCCTTTTCCATGAATCCCAATTTTTCCTCTCAACCTTCATCTGGCCCAGAATCAGGCACAGCATGGAGCAGATTATTATTGAGAATTGCCTTTAAATATCTCTTTTAAAAATACCATGCTGCAAGAAAAATGACAAAAATAATATCCTATTGTAAATTTATTCCCCAAACAAATTGGAGTTCCTACAAGTATTTGCATCCTTTATTTTCTCTTTGCTTTTCCAACTCCTACATATCCTTCAAGGCATAGTTCAGTTTCTACCCCTGCCATGAAGCCTTCTCAGATGACTGTATTCAACTCAGTCAATCATTCATAACAGTCATGCTTTGATCTACCAATAAGCCATGCAACACTTACCATCTCAGCCATTGATTTCGTGCTTAACCACAGGCAACATTATGTCAATGACAGAGTGAGAAAATCACCATCTCTTAAACCCTCTTAAGCCCAGTCTGATTTGCTTTTTGTGCACTCATTTTCTTTCAGTCAGACTCCAAAGTTCTTATTTAACTTCCTATAGACATATGTGTTATCTTTCAATCCTGATTATAATCAACAGGGATCTCTGACTTACATAATGCTTTATGTCTCTCACAGCATCTGGCCTGGTGCTTTAAATGTTACCTAAGTGAACAACACATGGCAGATATTTACGATTGTTCCAAGGAGAACTGTGGAAGGGGTGACTAAAAGTTTGCCTTTAGCTCCAACTCCCTCTCCTCTCACCTCCAACCCCCTCCCCTCTCATATCTGCAAAAGACTCTGATTAATGCATAGTCAATCATAATATTCATGTTGGAAAGAAAATGAATGAATGAAGTCAAACAACCTGGTTCACCTGGTTCTTGTGCTAAAATTACTAAACAAACAAACAAACACCCTGAAAAACAAACACTTTTAGTTTTACTTCTACTTCATCTTTCCCCTTTAATTTTTAGGGAAAAAATTTATAATGCTATCAAAATGTAAGGATCACGGGAATGAAAAAAAACAGCAAAATTTTGGCCAGGTGCAGTGGCTTGCGACTGTAATCCTGGCACTTTGGGAGGCCGAGGCAGGTAGATCACTTGAGGCCAGGAGTTCGAGACCAGTCTAGCCAACATGGCAAAACCCTGTCTCTACTAAAAATACATTAAAAAAATTAGCTGTCCATGGTGGTGTGCACCCGTAATCCCAGCTACTCTAGAGGCTGAAGCACAAGAATCACCCGAACCTGGGAGGCAGAGGTTGCAATGAGCCAAGATCGTGCCTCTGCACTCCAGCCTGAGCGACAGAGCAAGACACTGTCTCAGAAAAAAAAAAAAAGAAAAGAAAAGAAAATAGCAAAATTTAAATAGCATTCATTTATTTAAAACTCATAACAACTCTATGAAATAGATCCAATTATAAACTGCATTTTATAGATGAGAAACATTTACAGAGAGTTTAAGCAGAGTGCCCAGGTTCACACAGCTGATAAGTATTAGAGCTGGAATTTATACCCAAGTGTCTGGCCCCAAGTTTGAACACTTAGTCACCACATCAACTTCTTCTCTGTAAAAATAATTTAAAAAAAAGGAAGTAAAGGGCTTAACCCACATACCTGGTCATTAGCTTTCTGGATGATGGTTAGTTTACTGTCTGATACATTGGTTCATTTTAGCATAAAATAAGCATGCAGGGATGGTGACTCCCTGATACATGTCCTGAGTTTTTCATAATTTCAAACAAATACCCACAAATTCCTACCAAGATACATTCAATGACGATATTTAGGAGACCTGCTCTTCTTTCCTATGTCATTGAAGCTCCACACCTCACAGGGTGGTAAAAATTATTCCAGGGATTTGATATTATTTTGTCACCCAACCTGGAATGGTTAACATAAATTAGCCCCCCCAAAAGATTTACATCTGCTAACTGACCGTGCCACTATCTATAAATAAACTTTGGATGAAGTTAACACCTGTTACAGTGTTCTCATCCATTTGTCCTTTTTTTTGTCTTAGTACTTGCTGGCTTGTGACCTACAGAGTAAAATCTAGATGGGTTCATTAAACAACCTGTGCTTCAGCCGGATGTCACTAGAATGCCACCAGAAGAGCAAGATTTCCTCTCCAAATCAGCACCAACCCCATCACCTGAGCACATGTATGTAACTTTGCACCTAGATGAAAAAGCACCTGTTCAACAGACTTCAGCACTAGTTTTAGTCTGACAGGTGTGGATTTGAAGCCAGATGACAACTGGAATCAAGTAAGCAAGCTAGTCCCTGAAACTTGCTGCATTTCTGTCTACTCCTTTGTATTATGAGGGGTAAATTTTTTGATGTGTGTACTGTTTAGCACATGCCAAGTGTTCCATAAACATTTGTTGAATGAAAGTTCTTACCCTCAGCATTTGTAGTTCTTACCCTCAGCATTTGTAGTTCAGTTCTCTATTTTTGTCGTGGAGTGTTCAGACACCAAATAGGAACAAACTATGATACTATTCTGTTCAATAAGAAGGGACTGCTTTTAGAGAACATTAGCAATACTTATTAAACATTCTCCTTATTCACACAGATAAAAAGATCATTAATTACTTAGCTTAGGTTAATTCCCAGGACACCTAATTTGTTCACATCTATTTTCAGAAAAGCTTAAGATTTAAATATGAATAATTTCGACAATTATTTTTCCTCACAGAGAAACCACAAGGCAGTCAAACAGGCAGTGCTTTGCAGGCTATATGTCAGCCGGTGGGGCTTTATGAGAAGTTCATTCTTGAGATTGGAGGAGAAATGTGGATAATAAGTTAAGGAGAATGATGAACCAATCAGCAAGAAAAACCTAAAAAGCACTTGTAGGTTCTGCCTGAAGGCCTTAATTAACTGCATTCCCCACAGCACAGAACAAACCCATCTGGACAACCAAGAACATAAAAACCCAGCATGTAGAGCTCCGTGATGGGTCAATGCTAACAAAATGGTAGGTCAAACCCTCAAAGCTTTTACAAGACCCAGAAAACAAAAATCAAAAGCAATGGTAAGATTGAAGCTAGAATGTCCCAAACTTAATAACACAAAAACTCGAATTCTCTCTAGTTTAGCCCATCAAGCTAAGAAGCCTCAATGGCTCTAAAAAGGAGGAAGAGATAGCTACAGCAATGTGTACATATGCTGTTGGCACAAAATTCACAAATTCTTCCCTGAGCAAATAAAGCCAGTCACAGAATCATTTGCTTTGCCTTTGGAAGTTGGTCACTTTTGTCACTGCTTTGTGAATGAGCCAAAACTGTTTCTAACCAAAGCATTTATTTAGGGCCTTTGTACTGACACAGCCTGGGAACAATCCAGAAACTTACATCAATTCTGTGTTAGGACAAAGGCAAGACAGAAGATATTCCTGCTGCTTGTGGGGTGGGGACAAAGCACTCTCAGGCTGTGTTTAATCATGCAGACATACCTGGCTGGCTGAAAAGTGAAAATTGCAATCTTTGGAAAGATTGTTTGCTGGATACCCAGTACCATATGATATAACATGAAATAACTCATTATGCTTTTCTTCCAGTCCTTTAAAAATAATATTATCTTTTTTTTTTTTTTAACAATTGTGGATACTGAGGCTCAGAGAGGTTAAGTAACTTGCCTCAGGTGACTACCTGGCTAACAAGTGTCAAAGCTAGAACATAAACTATGGCCACGGCACTCTAAAGTCAGAGGGCTTCCTACTTTACCGTGCTAGCTCCTTATCCTATACAATGCTTACCTAGGATAGCCAGGCTATCAGTATTTTGAGAGAAAAAAATATTGAAATATTTAGTCTAAATGAATGCTATGAATTAAATACTTAAAATAATGAAGTCTGGGGTAAAAACATATCCCATGAATCTAGTCCAAGTACCCAACCTATGCTTAGAGTTTCAGAAAAGAACTTTTACAGTTTGAAAAAGGTAATACTTTTTTTGAGAGACAAATGGTCCTATGGTATGGGAAAATCCCCTTATAAGACACTCTTTTGTCTTTATTTTAATAAAAAGATTATATTTTGAATGCTTCCTGTGAGGTAGGCAGAGTGAAACTCTCCAGGATTGCCTTAATGAACCCCCATAATAATCTTATAAGGCAGGCACTCTTATTAATAACCCCATTTTACAGACAAGGAAACTGAGGCCTAGAGTAGGTCCATAACTTGCCCTAAATCAGACAAGTAAGCCTTAGTGCAAGGGTACAAATCTAGTTTGTTAATGTGGTTTTCAAGTATGTGGAGACACACACTAAAATACAAGGAAGTAAAACCTAATGAGTTCCAAATATTCTCTGGCTTAACATCAGTGAACAGTTGTGCTTATTTGCAAGTTTGTAGAGAGATAGATACCCCATAACCCAATTCTTTCCTCAACTTAATGTGTGTCCATATTCTTCTCGTCATCTTTGGTTTCCTAGAGCCAGAACATCTTAGAGTAACTGAGGCAACATGATAACTACTATATATTGAGCCTATATTTGAACACCTGCAGTGAACAAAATACTCTTACAGCTTGTTCCATTTGTAGTCAGCTCAGAAAATCATACTTATATTCAGCTGACAATGTTGAAATGACTTTTAGGAACCTCCCACTTGTATCTCTTATAGGTCAAGGGCAAAAAACTGTGCTGATGAAATGACATTATCAAAATCAAAGCGGTTTAATGCTATTCATTGAAGCACAAGTGATCTTGAAGGAAACTGAGAGATATTCTTTTTCAAGGACAGCTTTAATAGCTGAAGGGGTATAATGTTTTATATCCAGTCAACCATCCGGCTATAGACAACTTGTCACACTAAAGTGATTTAAGATTTTTCTTTTTTTAATATTTCGATGACATGTTGAATGCATATAAGAGGTTAGAGTGAACAAGGAAGTTAAGGGCTTTCTTTTTTCAAAATCATATTTGCATTTAACTTGAAATTCTTTCCAGTCATACGATTTTTGCATAAATATTTATGGGATCTTGATGGCTAATTAGATTATAAGTCTTTTATCCAGGAATTTGTCTAATTTTATGCTCTCCATCAAACCTGAGCTCTGTGCTGATCTTCAGTCCATGTTAAACAAAATTATTTTAACACCCTTTAAGGCTGCATTTCAAATTCTCTCATTTGTTACTCATACTATGTCACGGAATATATAGTCTTTATTTTTGGATGAAAGTTTGAAGACCCAAATCCCCCAAAAATTGATTTCCCATGTGAAAGCTCTCATTTTGATCAAAGAATAATAAAAGTGCCAAATGCCTCAAAAGCAAAGAAAGCAAAAGGCACAAATGGGCACTTTACATCATCTGCCAGGCAGAGTTACATCAATGTCTTCATGTGGTCTCCACAACAACCCTTAGAAGTGGAGATTACCATCTCATTTTACTGTGAAAGAAAGTAAGGAGGAGAAAGGCTAAGTGACCTGTTCAGTATCATGAAGCAACTAAGGAAAAATTATTCTCCAACCAAGTCCTCAGACACAACCCCACTTTTCTAGTTGGAGGAAGGTCAACTTGCAATTATTCAGATGGGAATAAAACCATTCTCCCATTGTTCTTCTCATTTCTAGAGGCTCAAGCTGTCTCCAGGCATGCACTTTACAAATCCAAATGGGTTTTGAAGAGGCCTTTTCATCTACACTTAGCATTCTCACTCCACTTCTTTATCCCTCAAGATAATGCTATCACTGCCATCAAATTTTTCTTAGTACATTTTGTTCTAGCACCATCATGTCACAAAAAGCAAAATAAATCCTCTTTGTGGAAGAAACTTAAGTTACAGACTTAAGCATCCAGCTCTAAAGGTCTCACTCCCTGGAAAATGACATGCAAAGGTTAAAACTGTCAACACAAAGCTTGGAATACAGTAGTTGTTCATTTCAACCAGGTGGGTACCTATCAGTGCCCTCTTTCTTCATGGAAGCATTGTACACAATATCCCTTTGCGCTCATTTGTGGAAGTGATTTATCATCCTTGTATGCCTGGAATCTTTGTGCTTTTGCACTCCAGTTCTGACTCTCCACCTCTTTCTAACTGGTCTCTCTTTTAGCCCTTCTCTTTTGTTCTACAAACTCTTATTCCTTCATAGAACATTTAGAAATAAAGTAGTGTAAGTGCTGAGTTTAAAAGGTCAAATAAAACCACAAGGCTTATAGCCCAAACGGAAGTCTCTCATTCCACCTTTCAGCTCCATGTCCCCTTGAAACATTTCAATCATTTCTTTGATATTTAGTAAGTAGATTAACACATTTAAGAGTAAATAGTGTTATTCATATCATTATGCAGGAGAAAAATCATTTTTACCCAAATTTCAAAGAAAAAAATTCAGAAGGGAAACATATTTCCAGAGCCTAAACTACCACTCAAATCTTTCAAATCAACTCAAAATAGTATAAATTTGAGGCCAATGCCTATATTTATATCTCTGTAGTAATAGACACCAACTATAGGATGATGACTTTTCCTAAGGATATGAATTCTGTGACTGGGGGCTTGTTTCCCCACTTTAATTTCTAAATACCTAGATTAATTCACTGATTATTTTAAATCAAATAAGAGCTTCTACTTCTATTGAAACTGGAGCCAGGCATCATCAGGATTATATTATCAATTGCATATGTAAGATGGGGGTAGGTTTTTATCCTATAGATTTCTAATTAAACATGTTTGACTCTCAAAATTGAAAGTTTATGAATTTAGCAATAAGCACACACAAAATTATTACATGAAAGGTTAATGGAGAGTCCATTCAATGCCATGCCTCCATTCACTCAGCTGAAGCCAGTCCTCCAAACTTAGGAGAAGCAATTGGTGCTAGCATGTACCCCTGAGCCTTACTGCTTCAGTTGATCTGGCCCAACTCCCAGCTGTGCAGTATCTGCAACTTCTATTTATCTGGAGCTATTTTCCTGAAGCAGAGGATAATTGCTCAGTCACCTGCAATGCAGGCTAGAAGTGCCAGAGAAGTAAAACTCCAGGAAGCAACCCTCAACCAACGTTTGAAGGTATTTGGAGTAAAAATGCCTCAGCTTTCCCACCTTTTGGTTGAGAAAATTCTGAGGCATGCATTTTACACTGTTACAGACTTTCCCACTGAGTTAAGTTCCAGCGACTCATGATGATAGCTGACTTGACAGTTTATCCTTTGTCAGCTGTCTTCCTTCCCTTTCTCACTGTCCCACTCCACTACTGATATTTCCTCGGCTTACCAAAGAAACTATTTGTATCTGCTTTTTTGTCTCATGGCATGTTTCTGGAAAGATCCAAACTGAGATGAAAGCCAGCTTCTTCATTTGAATTCTGGTCCTATCACCTTCCATCTCACTCTCTCCTCCATTGACCTCTTCTTCTTCCTAGGAAACAATCTTTCCTCACTGTGATGAAACCCTCTCTCATCTCTTTCCAGATATCTTCCTAACTCTACCCTCCATTTTCCTTTTCATTCCATCTAAATAGTGCTTTGAGGTTGTAATTTTCCCATCTTTACTAATTGCAATCTGGCTTCTTTACCATTTCTCTATTGAAGCTTTTTTTACTAAATAACAACAAACTTTTAAGTGCCAAACCCAACTAACACTTTTCTGCCCCTAGTTTACTCCATTTCACTGTAGTTTGTAACACTGTAGAAACCATCTTCCTTAAGCTTGTTTTTTTATTTATTTTATTTTTTATTCACTTATTTTATCTTTTGAGACAGAGTTTCCATCTGTCACCCAGGCTGGAGTGCAATGGTGCAATCTTGGCTCACTGCAACCTCCACCTCCCAGGTTCAAGTGATTCTTGTGCCTCAGCCTCCCCAGTAGCTGGGACTACAGGCATATACAACCAGGCCCAGCTAATTTTTAATTTTTTTTTAATAGAGATGGTGTTTTACCATGTTGGCCAAGCTGGTCTCAACTCCCAGCCTCAAGTGATCCACCCACCTTAGCCTCCCAAAGTGCAGAGATTACAGGCATGAGTCACCATGCCCGGCCCCTATAAGTTTCATTTACCTTGACTTCTGTGACACCACTCTCTTGATTTGCCTCTTACATTTCTGATTATTTCTTTGTAGGCTGCCTTGCTGGAGTCTATTCTTCTGCAAACTATTTAAGTACCGATATTCCCCAGGGGTTTCTTCTCAGACTTTTCTTTTCACCATATATGCTTATCCTGGGTAATTTCATTTATCTACATGGTTTTAACCATCACAATATGCTAATAATGCTCAAATCCACATATTCAGGATTGATGACTCTTTTAAATTTAGACACATATAGGCACCACCCAACCGGACATATTTACTGAATGTTTATAGATGTCTACAGTTCATATATCCAAGACTAAACTCATAGATTTTGAGCTCAAATCTCATAGAATCTGCATCTTACTTAGTGAAACCTTGATATGCCTAATCACCCATCCTACCTCTTAAAGATCATGACCAATCAATCACTTGGCAAGTGAATTTTACCTCCTGAATATTTCCCAAATTTGTTCTCTCCTTTCCATCTTCATTAACATAGAAAAATCAGGTGAAGTGGGGACCAAAAAGTGTAAGCTGGCTTAGGTATTTAGAATCTGTCATTTCAAATCTGTGATTGAAATAGGTCATTATAATTCCTCATTAGCTCCTTCACATGGTATAATAACCTATTTATGTTCCTTATCTCCAGGCTTTATTCCACCCATTAATCCTTCCTCAATACTGCTACCAAATGATCCTTCTGTAATAAGTGGGACCATGTCAATGTCAGGCTCACCAGTATATAAAGACAAAGTTTAAGCTTCTTTATATGTCATATAGGGACCTTTATTATCTTAACCTTGCCTAATGCTTGCCATTCAGAATCATTTATATTTCTCTGCAAATACTAGGCAATAGCTGTCTTTAGTTTTTGAACTCAAGCTATTTCCTCCATCTGGAAAGCCTTCCCCTCTCCTCTTCCCATTGACATACCATTCATTCATTAAAACCTCCCTCAGGTATTCCCTTTCTCTGATTCCCAAACCCTATAAGACAGAATTATTATGTCTCATATTTTTTCTATTCTTTGTATATAACTATTTTACCGTATGTAGCATACCAAATTCTATTAGTTTGCTTCTGCAGCTATTTCTTTTTTTTCTTTCTTTCTTTCTTTTTTTTTTTTTTTTTTTTTGGAGACAGGGTTTGACTCCCATCACCCAGGCTGGAGTGCAATGGTGCAAACTTGGCTCACTGCAACTTCTGCCTCCCAGACTCAAGCAATTATCTTGCCTCAGCACCCCCAAATAGTTGGGACCACAGGCAGACACCACCATACCTGGTTGATTTTTGTATTTTCTGTAGAGATGGGGGTTTGCCATGTTGCCCAGGCTGGTCTTGAACTCTTGAGCTCAAGTGATCCATCTGCCTTGGCCTCTCAAATTACTGGGATTACAGGTGTGAGCCACCATGCCTGGCCTTCTGCAGCTATCTCTAACATTAGCTAGAAAACCTCTCCACCCACAACAAACTCGGAACCCATGGTCAAATGAAAGTAGTGGTATACAGTCTACTACTTTGTAGGACTTTATGTATTTGTTAGTTAACCATTATATATGCTGAATTCCCATCTTCCTTTTAGACTATTCATTTCATGAGGACAAGGTCAGTATCTCTTTTGTTCTCTGCTATAACCCCAGTGCTAAGTATTATATCTGCCAGAAGAAGTGTTGGATAAATACTAGCTGACTAATTGGCTGACTCCTTAAAGACAAGGCCTATATTATATTCATATTTGCTCTTGCTTGAATGTGTCCCCAAAATCTATGTATTAGAAATTTAATCCCCCGGCCCAGCCAGTGGCTCATGCCTGTAATCCCAGCACTTTGGGAGGCTGAGGCAGGCAGATCACTTGAGGTCGGGAGTTAGAGACTAGACTGACCAACATGGAGAAACCCCATCTCTACTAAAAATACAAAAATTAGCTAGGTGTGGTGGCGCATGCCTGTAATCCCAGCTACTTGGGAGGCTGAGGCAGGAGAATCACTTGAATCTGGGAGCTGGAGGTTGCAGTGAGCCAAGACTGCACCACTGCACTCCAGCCTGGGCAACAAGAGCAAAACTCCATCTAAAAAAAAAAAAAGAGAGAGAGAGAGAAAAGAAATTTAGTCCCCAATGCAACAATGTTGAGAGGTAGGGCCTTTAAGAGGTGATTAGGTCATGGGGGCTCTGCCCTTGTGAATGGATTAATGCTGTTGTCACGGGTGCGGGTTCCTGGTAAAAGGATGAGTTCACTCTCCTTAATCTCTTGCATATATATGCTTGCTTGCCCTTCCTCATGCGATGACACAGCAAGAAGGCTCTCACCAGATGCAAGCCTCTCAACTTTGGACTTCCCAACCTCTGTAACTGCAAGAAATAAATCTCTGTTCTTTATAAATTACCCACTCTCTGGTATTGTTATAACAGCACACCATAGACTAAAACAATCTCCTTTCTCCAGTTCAGCAGGACTGGCCCAGAGAAGGCATCAATAAATATTTAAATTGAATGTCAGTCACCCTACTCAAATGGCCTGGAAAACAAGCAAATAGACTGTTTCCTGACAGTTAGACAATCTCATTTTCTTTTTTTTTTATTATACTTTAAGTTTTAGTGTACATGTGCACAACATGCAGGTTTGTTACGTATGTATACATGTGCCATGTTGGTGTGCTACACCCATTAACTCATCATTTACATTACGTATATCTCCTAATGCTATCCCTCCCCCCTCCCCCCACCCCATGAGAGGCCCCAGTGTGTGATGTTCCCCTTCCAGTGTCCAAGTGTTCTCTTTGTTCAATTCCCACCTATGAGTGAGAACATGCGGTGTTTGGTTTTTTGTCCTTGCGATAGTTTGCTGAGAATGATGGTTTCCAGCTTCATCCATGTTCCTACAAAGGACATGAACTCATCCTTTTTATGGCTGCATAGTATTCCATGGTGTATATGTGCCACATTTTCTTAATCCAGTCTATCATTGATGGACATTTGGGTTGGTTCCAAGTCTTTGCTATTGTGAACAGTGCTGCAATAAACATACGTGTGCATGTGTCTTTATAGCAGCACGATTCATAATCCTTTGAGTATATACCCAGTAATGGGATGGCTGGGTCAAATGATATTTCTAGTTCTAGATACTTGAGGGGATATCACCACTGATCCCACAGAAATACAGACTACCATCAGAGAATATTATGAATACCTCTAAGCAAATAAACTAGAAAATCTAGATGAAATGGATAAATTCCTCGACACATACACCCTCCCAAGACTAAACCAGGAAGAAGCTGAATCCCTGAAAAGACCAATAACAGGTCTGAAATTGAGACAATAATTAATAGTCTACCAACCAAAAAAAGTCCAGGACCAGATGGATTCACAGCTGAATTCTACCAGAGGTACAAGGAGGAGCTGGTACCATTCCTTCTGAAACTATTCCAATCAATAGAAAAAGAGGGAATCCTCCCTAACTCATTTTATGAGGCCAGGATCATCCTGATACCAAAGCCTGGCAGAGACACAACAAAAAAAGAGAATTTTAGACCAATATCCCTGATGAACATCAATGCAAAAATCCTCAATAAAATACTGGCAAACCAAATCCAGCAGCACATCAAAAAGCTTATCCACCAAGATCAAGTGGGCTTCATCCCAGGGATGCAAAGCTGGTTCAACATACACAAATCAGTCAATGTAATCCAGCATATAAACAGAACCAAAGACCAAAAGCACATGATCATCTCAATAGATGCAGAAAAGGCCTTTGACAAAATTCAACAGCCCTTCATGCTAAAAACTCTCAATAAATTAGGTATTGATGGGCCAGGCACGGTGGCTCACGCCTGTAGTCCCAGCACTTTGGGAGGCCGAGGTGGGCGGATCACGAGGTCAGGAGATCAAGACCATCCTGGCTAACACGGTGAAACCCCGTCTCTACTAAAAAAAAAAAAATACAAAAAAAATAGCCAGGCATGGTGGCAGGCACCTGTAGTCCCAGCTACTCAGGAGGCTGAGGCAGAAGAATGGTGTGAACCCGGGAGTCGGAGCTTGCAGTGAGCCAACATTGTGCCACTGCGCTCCAGCATGGGAAACAGAGCGAGACTCTGTCTCAATAAATAAATAAATTAGGTATTGATGGGACATATCTCAAAATAATAAGAGCTATTTATGACAAACCCACAGCCAATATCATACTGAATGGGCAAAAACTGGAAGCATTCCCTTTGAAAACTGGCACAAGACAGGGATGCCCTCTCTCACCACTCCTATTCAACATAGTGTTGGAAGTTCTGGCCAGGGCAATCAGGCAGGAGAAAGAAATAAAGGTATTCAATTAGGAAAAGAGGAAGTCAAATTGTCCCTGTTTGCAGATGACATGATTATATATTTAGAAAACCCCATCCTCTCCACCCAAAATCTCCTTAAGCTGATAAGCAACTTCAGCAGTCTCAGGATACAAAATCAATGTGCAAAAATCACAAGCATTCTTACACACCAGTAACAGACAGAGAGCCAAATCATGAGTGAACTCCCATTCACAATTGCTTCAAAGAGAATAAACTACTGAGGAATCCAACTTACAAGGGATGTGAAGGACCTCTTCAAGGAGAACTACAAACCACTGCTCAAGGAAATAAAAGAGGACACAAACAAATGGAAGAACATTCCCTGCTCGTGGGTAGGAAGAATCAATATCGTGAAAATGGCCATTCTGCCCAAAGTAATTTATAGATTCAATGCCATCCCCATCAAGCTACCAATGACTTTCTTCACAGAATTGGAAAAAACTACTTTAAAGTTCACATGGAACCAAAAAAGAGCCCGCATTGCCAAGTCAATCCTAAGCCAAAAGAACAAAGCTGGAGGCAACACGCTACCTGACTTCAAACTATACTACAAGGCTACAGTAACCAAAACAGCATGGTACTGGTACCAAAACAGAGATACAGACCAATGGAACAGAACAGAGCCCTCAGAAATAATACCACACATCTACCACCATCTGACCTTTGACACACCTGACAAAAACAAGAAATGGGGAAAGGATTCCCTATCTAATAAATGATGCTGGGAAAACTGGCTAGCCATATGCAGAAAGCTGAAACTGGATCCCTTCCTTACACCATATACAAAAATTAATTCAAGATGAATTAAAGACTTAAATTTTAGACCTAAAGCCATAAAAACCCTAGAAGAAAACCTAGGCAATACCATTCAGGACATAGGCATGGGCAAGGACTTCATGTCTAAAACACCAAAAGCAACGGCAACAAAAGCCAAAATTGACAAATGGGATCTAATTAAACTCAAGAGCTTCTGCACAGCAAAATAAACTATCATCAGAGTGAACAGGCAATCTACAGAATGGGAGAAAATTTCTGCAATCTACTCATCTGACAAAGGGCTAATATCCAGAATCTACAGAGAACTTAAACACATTTACAGGAACAAAACAAACAACTCCAGCGAAAAGTGGGCAAAGGATATGAACAGACACTTCTCAAAATAAGGCATTTATGCAGCCAACAGACACATGAAAAAATGCTCATTATCACTGGCCATCAGAGAAATGCAAATCAAAACCACAGTGAGATAGCATCTCACACCAGTTAGAATGGCGATCATTAAAAAGTCAGGAAACAACAGGTGCTGGAGAGGATGTGGAGAAATAGGAACACTTTTACACTGTTGGTGGGACTGTAAACTAGTTCAACCATTGTGGAAGACAGTGTGGCGATTCCTCAAGGATCTAGAACTAGACAATCTCATTTTCTATGTATAATTTCACACATTTCTACTGGCTCATCATTATTTTTGGAAGATCATCAAATCAGGAAGTCCAATGGCAAGTTAGACAAAGAGTGGCAAACCGATTGCTTCTGTCACACCAACTTGAATGGATTTATAGTAGTGCTTTAAGTTTTGTACTGGGAAAGATTCTGAGGCCATGTTCGACCTAAGGGTAAGATCATGAATTAGCACTCATTTATGGACTGGGAGAGAGAGAAGTGGCAGCGCAAGTGCTACATAGTTGCCATCCCTTTGTAAACCAATGGTAGGGGAGGGTGACAAGTAATACTGCCACACAGGAGGCTTCATTGGTACATGCTCAAACATTCATCCAGAATGTCAGAGAACCTGGCAATTAGCTCATTGCTTAGGATGCTGCTCTGCTATTCTGTATGATTCTAGAACACATCAAAGCAACATGGCTTTATCTCACATTTATGCAATAGCTATTTGCCTCTGCTTAAGGACACTAATATATTTTCCTTTGATAATAAGTACAAATATTTGAAGCCAAATAAATAAAAAGGCCTTTGGGTATTCCAGCAACTAAGTTTCTTAGGATAAATTTGACTTACATAAATTATTTTCTATAGAGAATATTACCACCTTATACTTAGTTTCCTACATTTTAAAGTTGTTTTTCCACCATTATTTCATCTGAGAAGGGTTCCAAAGAATTACACAGCCAACTCATAAGGGCAACAAATTCCCATTACTTTGGTGTTATCTAGTTTATAGACTATTTTCTATAATCCACACATGGCTTTCTTTTCATCTGATTTGACCTTTAAAAACATGCCATCTGGACCTTTGCTTAAAGATGTAAAGGTGTTTCCATTTTATTCTGTTCTCTCAAATACCACATGTTTAAGACTATTACAGGAAAAAATTCATTTAAATAGAAATGGCAATGCTGTCCCAAGTATAAACTACAGCAGACCAATCATGTAAAATGTGTATATGTAAGAGTGAACATGTATGCCTCAGAACTCAAGTAGAAAGCAGACTGCACCGAGAACGAGAGCCACTGCCCTTAAAGGCATGTTGAAATGTCATTTTGTTAGAGGCAATGAGATCTGAGTTCACAAACATATCATAAAGAAGCAGGTCATATCCTGACAGATCAGCAGGGAGCTGGATCTGAAGTGGAAACAAGCCGAGTGGCTCTTCCTATGATCCACCGCATAACCACCTAGTTGATAGAGACAGTCAGAGGAGAACAGGATGACAGAGAGACAAGAGGCAGCCATCCCCAGATCATGACACTAACCAACTATGACTTAGAGGTTTTGCTAAAAACCACACCAGATTTTTGAGTGACAAAAATTGAAATCAGATGCCTAAGATTAAAATAAATAACAAACACAAAACATAACAGATTTTGTGAGAAGGCTTTTGACATAAGAAGGCTCAACTAAAGTTGCAGAATGCTCCAATTTAACTGTTCTCTTTCATTGTACATAAATATATTCTTCAGAAGCTAGCAGCCCAAATCAAGAATAACTAATAAACAAAAAGGCACCAACTTGAGACCTATGCATAAAACTACAAAACTAAAGCAAGCAAAATTAAACAAAACTGAATTCCTCCAATAAAGAAGAAAAGAAGAAAAATTGGATTAAGATCATTTAACAGAAAAAGAACCATCAGATAAAAAGGAAGGATTCTACAAATAAATCTCAAAAGACACAAAAATATTTCATATAGCTGTAGAATGAGCTTAAAGAAGAGATACAGAATTTCAAATAGGTGATTACTATGAGATTATAGAAGATGATAAAAAGAGTAAGTTGGCAGAGAAATGGAAAATAAAAATAAAAGCATGATAAAGTCCCATTAAAAGCACATATATAAAATAAACACAACTGAAAAACAGCTGTGGATACAGTGAAGAGGCTTAAAGAAATGACATAAAACAAGTTAAGAAAAACGAAGATATTAACATTTTTATAAAGATGATAGATGTAGAAGTCAAAGGGAATCCTACACACCTATAATTGGTGTTCCTGAAAAAGAGAACAGAAAAAATGGAATACAAATATTAAAAGATTTAAAAGAAGAAAATAAGCCTGGAATAAAGATTTGAAACTGAAGATAAAAAAGACATATCTTTCCCTAGGAAAGCCTGACATAGTATTGATGATGTTGCTGAACTCCAAAGATAAAAAATATTCTATGGATGCCCACTTATAAAGAGCAAGGAGAATAAAAACTTCTATTGGCTTCTGACTCCTTTCTAGCAACATATAGAAGATATATGACAACGTAATGAATTAGAATAGACTGTAGAATACAATGAAAAACCATGGATAAAATTCTAAAGAAATGAAAACATGACCTGAGAATTTTATAACCAGCCAAACTATTCTCATTGTCTAGCCACCTCTAGTGTAAGCCAGGTATGGAACTTACTTTAGGGAAGGTAAAGCCCACAGGTCCCAGATGGAATATCTGGTGCACACATGGGTACCCCCGATAACCATAAGACTGTGGGGTCTTATAGAGTTCTGGAGTCCTCATAGATAAGTCCCAGAAGTGTTTAACATGGTAATGATTGTAAGGTTAGGGATTTTTAAAGACTGAACTCTTGAGGAATTTTCATTTGCTTATGTATTCATTCATTCACAAATATCTGTAGAGTACCTGTTATATTCCAGTGTCTATGCTTTACTTAATTCTGGATGTGTAATGTATAGAGTTTTATGGTAATTATTCCTTTTAAACATAGCTCTGATAACAGTGTTTTCCCACTATCTCACACATGTGGGGAAAACACAGGAAGAACGTGTCAACTGTTCATAATTCTGTGGAGCAAATTTCTGCAAGAATACATAACACTGGTGCTTATTACCTAGATATTTCAAATACAAATTTAAAAATGCAATTGTCTTGAAAGAGTTTTAAATAAAAGATAGTGGGAGATCATCACTTCAGCCAGAAGGATGGGGAAGAGAGTGCTAATAAAAGGTTTTGGGGATATCTGGCATTGGAATTACAGACAGATTTGGACATGTGGGGATGAAGGGAGAATGACTTCCAAGCAGACGGAATTGTGGGAATAAAGGCAAAGAAATGGGAAAAATTCTAAATATGCCCTGGAATAGGGAACACTGGATTGGAGAGTACTAGAAGGTAAGGTGGGATGAGTCTCTGTGGGACTGGGTGGAGGGCTTCAAAAGCCAAACTAAGGTGTGGGAGTTTTATTCTGCAATTGGTGTGACCAAGTGAACATACAGCAAGACCTACATTGTGTTTTGGGTAAGAATAATCTGGCAAAAAATCTTTAAGAGGAACAATGAAGAGACCCTGACATGGGGCTATTTACAATGCTAATGGAGGGGCTTAACAAAAGACAGAAAGGGCTTAACCTCACATAATGGGAGTAGGGAATACAGCTGGAGAGAATGTTGGAGATTAATTCCATGAGGCAACAAGAGAGCTGAAGAAACAGTTCCAACAAATGGCTGAAAATGAGATGAGAGAAAAGTGGTGGAGGATCTACATTCCAGGTCTGATTACTTGGGAGCTGCTAGCAATTTTCTTACTCTTTAAGAGCTTTTTGCAGGAGTTGTATATGTAGTTTCATTGCAAGGCAAATGACCGGGCAGGGTTTGAAGTCAGATAACCAGTGGCACTTAAGTTTCCTTTAAAAGAGGGCAGAGTCCCCAGCCAGTGAAATATGGGACTGAAGTAAAGAAGATTGGTCACAAGGGCATTTACTGTATGAGGGTCCAAGGGAGGTACATTCCAGAGGAGAGAGTATGGAAGACTCAACTCATTTACCCACCTCACAGTTATACTAAGGCAAGGCACCCTAGGCAATTGAAACTCCATTCCGTCCACTTGGAGCAGAGAGGCAGGTTGATGACAGCCTAACTGCACACATGTAGGACCCTCTCCTAATATCCACCCTCAAGTGAATGGGCATCCAAATTTGACTTCAGTTATGACCATGGTTTGCAGAATGCCCTGAGCCAGGAAAAAGAAAGCCCCTTGGACTTGACCATAAGAATGGGCTTTGAGGTCAGAACACTCCTGGGCATTCCATTTCTGCCACTTACTAAGTGACATTAGGCAAGTGACTTAACTTCACTGAACCAGGATGTTAATATCCCACAGGGTTCTTCGGAGGATTTGACAGGATAATGAGAGTAAAGTGAATAGCAAAGAGCATGAGATGTGTAAACAGCAAATGGGTGCCTGGGGCCCTTCCCCCCACACTCCCAAAATACCTGCTGTATGAGCTGCTGGTTTCCTGCACAGTCACCTCCAATTCCTGAAACTACGTCTTCTCTCTTCTCCACATATGTCCCCCTCTTTCCTTCTCCTTCCCTGGAATTTATTTCTCTTTGTCCATTTCCTGGGTCTCTTTTTCTCCTAAATTTTGCTCTCCCGTCTTCTTAATTCATCGGTCTCTATGCTTTATGCTATTCTGCTCCTTCCCCACTGAGCAAGTATTACTAAAAAGACAGGATGAGCCAAAAAGGCAGTTAGTATGAAAATTCATCATCATGATTCCCAGAGTAATTCAAAATATCCCCTAATATTATGAAGAAATAGGTGCCTTCATAAGACTAAAAGTGGCTATTTTTGTAAAACCCACCCAAAGACAGAAAATGGGTAATTCTCACAAGGAGCCCTTACTGTGAACAAATACAAGACATTCCTTACAAATTATAAATGTGCAGACATTGGAAATATACTAGACCACTAAGCACGAGGTAGAATTCTGCTCTGAGCCACAGAGAACAACTTGTGAGTGAAGTTCAAATGAGGCCATCAAACCAGCCAATAGGTAATTCCAAGCACAGGACCTCTTTTGTAGGGAAGTTACTCTCAGCCTGCACATATAGTTTCTGTTTAGTTTTAACGTTATCAGGTAGCTGAGCCGTGACTCCACTGTTTTAAAAATGTCATAGCGACATTTCACCCAACAACACAGCCTTAACAACATCCTAGTTCTTTTTAATTAAGCAGCATAAATCAGAAACAGAAGTTTCTTAAAATTCTTAATGCCACGTGGAATCAGAACAAGGCTTACAATTGCAAAATTATCAATATCGCAATATAAAGCATCTCTGTATTTTTCACATTCTAATGTCATGTGTTTCTGGCAGAATTTTAAGCTTCTTGACCCTAGGATGATGGCCTGTGTCATCACTGAGAACTCAGGCAATGTACTGTGTCCTGGCTGGGGGTGAGAGGGAGATTAGAGGCAGAGAACATTTTGTTAATTGCTTCTTAGGCCCTTACTGGGGAGTAAGGGAACTCATTCCTTCTGCACTTCGTGCTTGGAACTTGCTTGTTCAGCCAGTTTGTTTAGCTGTGCTTTCAATAATGGTACTTCACTGGTTTCTAAAATTCCCGGGTAATCCAAAAGAAGGACAGGACATGGGACACATGATTTTGAAACATCCTGCCTTTCTTTCTGCATAGTTAACAGAAAGTCTCTTAAATTAGACTGGCTGGTAGTTTTTGGAGTGTTCTAGGAGACCTATACTTTCCACTACATGGGCCTCCATCTAGGGAGGCTTAATATCAGGTATCCTTATAAGAGGAGATGAAGTGTATTACCCCTTTTTCATTCAAGACTGTTCTGAAGGCTCTTCTCCAACCACACTAAGAATCTAACTGCCTAACTAGTCATTTTTTCAACAAACATTTATTGAGCATCTGTTATGTGCCAGGCCCTGTGCAAGTCATCGGGGATGCAGTAGCAAACAAACTATAGTTCCTCAAAGCAAGAGACACATAAAAAATTATGCTACACTATGAGAAATGCCAAGAGATATGAAGCACTATGGGAGACAGAGGGAAGTAGTAATTAATTTTATCTAAATAGTAGAATGAGGGAAGGATTCTCAGAGGTTATGTTTAAGGAATATTTTTTTTCTTTTGAGACAGGCTGTTGCTCTATCACCCAAGCTAGAATGCAGTGGTGCCATCATGGCTCAATACAGCTTCAACCTCCTGGGCTCAAGGGGTCCTCCTGCCTCAGCCTCCTGAGCAGCTGGGACCACAGGCACTTGCCAGCATATTTGGCTATTTTCATTTTTTTTTTTTTTTTTTGGTAGAAATAGGGTCTTGCCATGTTGCCCAGGCTGGTCTCAAGCCATCCTTCTGTCTTGACCTCCCAAAGCGCTGGGATGGTAGGCATGAGCCACCACATCTGGCCTGACATTTCTTTTCTTATTCTTATTTTTTAATTTTTTAACTGACAAATCATATATATTGCCAGTCATGATGGCTTGCATTTGTAATCCCAGCACTTTGGGAGGCTGAGGCAGATGGATCACCTGAGGTCAGGAGTTCGAGACTAGCCTGGCCAACATGGTGAAACCCGTCTCTACTAAAAACACAAAAATTAGCTGGGCGTGGTGGCAGGTGCTTGGAATCCCAGCTACTCAGGAGGAGGAGGCAGGAGAATCACTTGAACCTGGGAGGCGGAGGTTGCAGTGAGCCAAGATCATGCCATTGCACTCCAGTCTCAGTGACAAGAGCAAAACTCCGTCTCAAAAAAAAATTGTATAGATTTATTGTGTATAATATGATGTTTAAAATTTGTATACATTATGAACTGGCTAAATCAAGCTAATTAACACATGAACTACCTTAAATACTTATCATTTGTTTGTGGTGAGAACACTTAAATCTACTCTCTTAGCTATTTTCAAGTATATAATACATTGCTATTAACTGCAGTCCCCATGATGTGCAATAGCTCTTTTTAACTGATTCTTCCTGTCTGAAATTTGGTATCCTTTGACTAACATCTCCTCAGTCCCCTCAGCCCCTGGTATCCACCATTTTCCTTTCTGCTTCTGTGAGTTACAGCAACATGAATGAAACTGGAGGACATTATGTTAACTGAAATAAGCCAGGCACAGAAAGACAAACACTATATGATAGGTCTGGACTTTCTCACCATGGTGAGAAAGGGGAATAAGTATTAAGGCAAGAGAAACAGCATGAGCAGAGGTAACAGATGAAAAAGTATTTGGCATGTTGAAAGTGCTGTGAGTAGTGTGGTTGGTTAGAACACTATTATATAAGTGAATGAGAAGGTGGGGAAATGAAATTGGACATAGACCAGTTTATGAAGGATTTAGCAAAATGTTCTTCAGACCAGTAGTTTTCAAAGTGTGGTCTCTAGACCATCAACATCAACTGAAAATGTTAGAAATGCAGATTCTCAGATCCCACCTGTATTTGCCTGCTAGGGCTGCCATCACAAAATGTCACAGACTGGATGGCCTCAAGAACAGAAATTAATCTTCTCATAGTTCTAGAGGCTGGAAGTCCAAGGTTAATGTGTCAATAGGTTTGGTTTTTTTCTGAGACCTCTCTCCTTGGGTTGAGATGGCTGCTTTCTCACTGTGTCTTCACATGGTCACCCCTTAGTCTGTGTGTCTCTGTGTCCTAATCTCTTCTTACAAGGACACCCATCATTGGATTAGGGCTGACTCCAATGACCCCATTTAACTTAATTACTTCTTTATTATTATACTTTAAGTTCTAGGGCACATGTGCACTACATGCAGGTTTGTTACATATGTATACATGTGCCATGTTGGTGTGCTGCACCCATTAATTCGTCATTTACATTAGGGATTTCTCCTAATGCTATCCCTCCCCGCTCCCCACCCCCAACAGGCCCCGGTGTGTGATGTTCCCCACCCTGTATCCAGGTGTTCTCTTTGTTCAATTCCCACCTATGAGTGAGAACATGCGGTGTTTGGTTTTCTGTCCTTATGATAGTTTGCTGAGAATAATGGTTTCCAGCTTCATCCATGTCCCTACAAAGGACGTGAACTCATCCTTTTTTATGACTGCATAGTATTCCATGGTATATGTGTGCCACATTTTCTTAATCCAGTCTATCATTGATAGACCAAGTCTTTGCTATTGTGAATAGTGCCACAATAAACATACGTGTGCATGTGTCTTTATAGCAGCGTGATTTATAATCCTTTGGGTATATACCCAGTAATGAGATGGCTGGGTCAAATGTTATTTCTAGTTCTACATCCATGAGGAATCACCACACTGTCTTCCACAATGGTTGAACTAGTTTACAGTTCCACCAACAGTGTAAAAGTGTTCCTATTTCTCCACATCCTCTCCAGCATCTGTTGTTTCCTGACTTTTTAATGATCGCCATTCTAACTGGTGTGAGATGGTATCTCATTGTGGTTTTGATTTGCATTTCTCTGATGGCCAGTGATGATGAGCATTTTTTCATGTGTCTGTTGGCTGCGTAAATGTCTTCTTCAGAGAAGTGTCTGTTCATATCCTTCGCCCACTTTTTGATGGGGTCGTTTGATTTTTTTCTTGTAAATTTGTTTAAGTTCTTTGTAGATTCTGGATATTAGCCCTTTGTCAGATGGGTAGATTGTAAAAATTTTCTCCCATTCTGTAGGTTGCCTGTTCACTCTAATGGTAGTTTATTTCGCTGTGCAGAAGCTCTTTAGTTCTTTAGAGGCCCTGGCTTAAAACAGAGTCACATTCTGAGAGATGAAGTGTTAGGGCTTCGATATATGAACTGGAGGAAAGACACAATGCAGCCCATAGCACCACCCCAGACCTACAGAAGAAGAAGTTGACAAAGACATGAAGGATGAAGAGGCAGCCTCTAGTCTGTCTGGTAATCTCTCTAGATGATTTGATAGACTTAAGTCTGGAAACCAATGCTATAAATAGAGGGCATTAGAAATTTCTAGTTAGAGCAACAATATGACACAACTGTGTTTTACAAAGAACATGCTGGCATTAATATGGAGTTGTAGACAGGCAGGAACTGGATGTAATGGGGCCAAATAAGAGATGACGAGGAAATGAAGAAAGCCATTGATCCATCCACTTTCTCCGTGCCTCATCCAACCAGGCAAATGTTACAAGAGAAAAAAAAAAATCACTGAACTTGGATCTCTAGTTGCACAATAAATTTATGAACATCTACCTCACAGAAGCTTTTAATACCCTCAGGCCAACCCACTATACCCCACTCTCTGGAGTTTGCTTTTCTCACTCATAACACTTGTCATAGTACTTATCACAATCTGATCTCAGTTGCATCCTCTGCCCACTATAATGGGAACTCCTTGAGGACAGGGGCTTTGTCTGTCCTGTTCATCACTGAATCCTTAATGCCAAGGGGAAAAAAAAAGCAGCAGCAGCCAAATGAAGGAATTAAAGAAACAACAGTGGAAAATGAAAAAAGGAGACAGATTCAAGAGAGTGAGTTTTAGGAGAGACCTGGAAGGATTCTGGGACTATTCCTGAATTCTTATCTGGGTGAATGTCCTCAAGTTAAATAGGGAATGTAGAAGAACTAGCTGAAGCAGGCGAAGATACGGGGAGCATCTATTCTGGCCACACAGCAAGCTGGGACAAAGCAAAGACTAATCACAGAGGAAATTCCTCGTAGGAGTTCCTCTTATCCCTGATGAAAGGGCCATCCAAATAAAACCAAGTCCAAACAAAAGCATGTGGGGTCAGGCCACATTTAAGTACAAGCCTAGCTGTCCTGGCTACTATAGGCCAGAAACAGCACAAGTTTCAAGTTCTGATGGGTCTTTAACCCATCTACTCATTTTTTGTATTAAGTCACTCAAAATGTATGACCAGAGAGAGGCAGAATGGTATAATGGTTAATAGGGCAAAGTCTATAGCTAGAATGACAAAGTTTGAATCTCTGCTCTACTATTATTAGCAGTAAGACTTTGGGCAAGTTACTTAAACTTTCTGTACCTCCTTTCACTTACATGTAAGATAAAGTCTAATGAGATATTCTCTTGGTGAAGGAGAAAGTTGGGATCACCTAGTGAGAGAGATGATCAGATAGATTTGGATTCAGAAAACTGGTAATGGTTTGGACTAGACACTGGAAGATAAAAAGTAGATTGGCTGAACAGGGAGAACCAATTGGGCCCAAGAATGAGAAATCTGCAGTGATCTGGCCAATTAGCAGGGTTATGCATTTTATTTTCTATATTGTTAGGCAACAAAGGAGCAGCAGTAGAGAAAGTCAACAATGGGGTTGATCTGGGGTGGGGAATCACTGGGTGGATATAGGGACTGAAATTCTAGGGAGTGTGGGAATAGAAGGTGTCAGTGACGGAGGTTCAGGTAAAGATGTGTGTTTTCATGCAGTTTTCCAATCTCAGTTACTCACATACTTCTTTACGTCTTTCCCATGTCCATCCTATTGCTAGATAATTAACTTTCAATCTACTATTTTTACTTAGTCTCATTCTAAGAACTAAGGGTTGGATTCTTTTCTAAGCCTTGTTCAATAAATGTTTTTAAATACTCATCCATATACAACATAGAATCCTCCTGCTTATCATATGTTAGGAAAAATTCACCATTATTGTTAAGAACTTGAGTTTTACTTCAGTTCAATTTCATCTAACAGGGAGTAGTAAGATTTGCCATTTGCAGTGTGGTTTTTGGCAAAGTACTTAATCTCTCTAATCCTCCATTGGTAATAATGTCTACTTCATAGATCGTGCCCAGAATTAAATAAGATAATTCACATCAAATGCTTACCCCAGTGACTGGCATAACGAGGATGCTCAATAAATTACAGCTATTTTTGTTATATCAACCCTCCTAGTCATTAAGAATTTATGATGCTAATGATTAAATAACATGAAACATAGCCAATACTTTCACAGTGTGGAATCTTCCCTTTTGCCAGAGGAGATTTCCATAGATTCTCCTAGGAGACTGATCTCTCTTCACAATGTATAACATGCCATGTTCTTCACGGTTGGTAATTAATGTTTATTTTCTAGTCAAGGAATTCATATTGAAAGAATATGACACTCCTACATAGAGTTAAATTATACAGAAATGTCATATTTTCTTCCAAACAGAAACTTCCATATTCGGATCCTTTTGTCACAGGATTCCTGCTAGGCGTCATCATCATGAGACCTCTAAGCAGAGAGTGTTGCCTTCTGGCAGACCTTGAGGTCGCTTATCTCACAGAGCACACTTTCCACCTCTTTCTCACATCTGCCTTGCATCTTGCTATTGCCAGTTAGTTTATCATCCTAGTACTGTACTGTCCTTCCTACTAGACTAGACAGAGTACATACACACCAAACTGTGGGAGTTCAGTAAGTCTTATTATGCTTTTCACAAAAATCATCCTCCCCACAACTCATTGGCCAAGTTCCATTGTAAGTAATTGGTTATTATCTTTTTATCCCTATTCTGCTCCACACTATCTAAGGGTATAACAATTTTACTGGCTTCTGTTAGGTTATTATGTGTCATTAAATAGCTGCATATTGTACCTTCTAGAAGGGGCTATTTAGTCTTCCACAACAGATGAGATGATGAAGAGCTATTTAAATGGGGGAAAGTCCTTGTGGAGACAGCCTGTTTTGTAAAAACGTAAGGCATCTTCTGCTGCCTTTTAGCCACTTGCCAATACGTGTAAAGATATGAAGAACATTTTGCATACCGATTTCCACCCTAACGATTTCAAGGCTATTTTATCCTTGCTGGCTTTTCAAATACCTACAACTTTTCTGCTCAGTAACAACCAGAGTCTAGTACACAGTAGACCTCTACAAACATTTGCTGAATGAATAAAACTCAAATTGGCTTCTGTACATTTCAGCAATCCACTTTCTCTACTTATTCACCTTATTTTCTGTTTCCCTAGAAAAAACAGAATCTATTCTTCAAAAGCAATTTTTATGAGAATGTTTAAAACCTTAGTCCTTTTGGTGACACAAAGTGGGGAGTAGAGAGGGATGTAGGTGGATAGGGAAGTAATGATACCTTTCTAGTTCCTTTTGTACTCATACTATCCCTCTCATTTGAGGAGGTTATAGATTCACAAGCTTTGTCTTATTAACTCCATCGAATGGCAATTTGTGGCAGATGCTTATTCCACTTGTTCCTGTGAGCAGTTGAGGTACAGAATAGGGAAAGGCTCTCCAGCTGTTTCAGATCATAGACTCTAGCTGATTCCAGATTCAGGTCTAGATTCCAGGCCCTCAGTCCTTAGTTCTGAAACCACATCTACTTTCATCTTTTAGTTCAAAATGGCCATTCTAGGGAGACTGTGCATGTGTGGGAATAAGGAGTATATGATAACTCTGTACTTTTGGCTCCATTTTGCTGTGAACCTAAAAATGTATTAACTTCTAAAATATAGTCACTCCATTGGCCAATTATATATAACTCTTGGTTTACATTTCCATGCTTACCTGGAAGTAAAATGGCAATATAATGGCAACACTCTCAATTTGAGTGTAACACACTGTCGATTCATTCTTTTTGCAATCACTCCCTGGCATCTTATCTGACTACCTCCTCACCACACTGTCAATCCTGAAGGGGAAAAGGAACCTATACTCAATGAGAATTTATCTTTTCTTCCAGTCTAAATCTAAAAATCATGATAGCTTTTTAAATGTCTATAGAGTAAACAAATATGAAAAGCTTTAGTTTGTAAAGAACTGTAAGCCCAGTTTCTGAGGACCAACTAGTCAGATTCTCTCTCTCCTTCATGTCTTTGGGTGGTGACATTTTCTCCTTTAAGCACACACCCCTCATTAGCTCTGGCAATGCACACTCTCACAGGTCTCACCGCATGGGAGACAATGCCACTGGCTTCTTTCCAAGGATGTAGAGGCGCAGCCAAAGTGGCTAACATTCCATATGGTGGTGAACACAGTTCTGTCTTTATAATGTATTCATCCCAAGAGGCCTCATGGCAAACTAATTAATTTTGCAATGGGTAGTTTTTTTTTCATGTATTTGTTGTGAAATAATCTATATTTCTTCACCCTTTGAAGACATTGGTATCATTAAACATGATACTTAGACAACATGAAAAAAATGATACTTAGAAAGCATTAAGTAAATAGTTATAATGAGTTCTAATGGTAAAAACAGTTGCTGGAGACCTCTTCCCTTAATATGAAAAGACAACTATGTCCCATTGGTAGGATAGGCACACAGAAGTGGTCACATTTCATGAAGAGTCAACTTTAATCCTACCAAACCCTGGGGAAAAAACATGAAATTTGAAATGGAAATACACAGGTTCAAATCCTAGTTCTGCCACTTTTTAGCTTTATCATCCTGGTAAGGTATTATCTTCTCTGAGCCTTAGTCATCCTCTGTCACTGGAGGGTGATAATTCCTGCTTCACAGGCACTTTGTGAGCATTAAATCAGGCAACAGATGTGGCACACATATCAGAGTGCCTGGTGCTAATGAGTGAAGTAACTCAACAGAGGTCACACAGCTAGTGAGAGCCAGGGCTGGGGTTCAAATTTAATAATTCTGGTAGCTAAGAGCATAAGATTTAGGACCAATCTTGTATCTTGATTTCCTTACTTGTGAAATGGAGGTTGTCCTATCTATCCTGCATCTCTGTGATGAGAAATAAATAATATTTGTAAAGCATTTAGTACAGCACCCAGCATGCAGTAAACCTTTAAATTCATTAATTCTTTCAATAGACAAGCAGGCAGATAGATAGATATAAAACACCTGTTGGTGCCAGGTACTACACTAATCTTTGGGATACAGCAGTAAGTGAAATATAGCCTGTCTTATAAATGTTAACATTCAGAAATATGACCATGACTTTTAACAAGCCAGTGAGTTATGATGTAGATAATACTGACCTCAGTTTGCAAATGAGGAAATTGAGGCACAGGAATTCATTTCTCAAAATCACCTCAGTGGCAAGAACTCTGATCTGTATTGACCCATAGCCTACTTTCCATATTATGGGAAATAATACTAGGACAGACAAGATGGTACAAGATGACAGAGCTGTCTTAATGACTGGATGTGCATAACTTAGTTGCCCATATGCATGAGGGGTAATAATGATAATTCACACACACAGCCTCATCGATGCTATCTCTGTGCTGTGTAGGTAGCCTGGTACAGCAGAAAAGCTCAGGATTTTAGTCAGAGGATCTGGATTTAAATCCTGCATCGGCCACTTGCTTATTATTTGTGAATAACCTGATAACTTGAACCTGTCTGTTCATTTACACAGTGGGTATGACAGTACAGTCAGGGCTGTTTTGGGAATCAAATCAGGCATGGATGTTTAGGAAATTTGTAAACCCTAATACATTATGGAAAGAAACATTATGACTATTTCAGAGGCAAACTATTTTCTTGCATTACATTTTAGCCTCTAGTTATTTTCTAGTGGTACCACATACTAGAAGCTGTAGACTGCTCTTTAGAGGATATTCTTGAGCAGTTCACCCCAGGCTGCCATGTCCAGTATGCAGGCTATGCCTTGCACAAGGACACCCAACTAAGGAGGCAAATGAAAGCTAAAAAGCAGCCTACTCTCTGCTCACGAAGCTGTACACCCCAACACAGGACCACCTCCACCCAGAGGAACTGGCATCCTTTTCTAATTTACCCAAGGCAAAGTATGGGCTATCAGTGTCCCTAACTATACTTTACATTCTCCTGTTTTAATCTTTCCTTCTTCCATCGATTCCTATCCAACTATGTATTTCTTGTCCCTCCAACTTCCATTCCTTGTGACCTGTGCTCTTCTCCTCCCTGACTTTCTTTTTCACCTGGCAGTGAAAACCAGCATAGTGCCTCTCCCTGAACAGTTGCTTCTCTTGCCTTTACATATTTCTAAGCCCAGTGCACTTCCTTCTCTCCAGAACTGCCCCTCAGTCTGCCAAAGAACACCACTTCTCTGAATGCTCTTAAGACTTAAGGAACAGGCTCAGTGAAGAGCACATCTTTTTCATTTTTAATTTTTATGGGTATGTAGTATGTCTACATATGTACAGGGTATATAAGATATTTTGAAACAAGCATACAACGTGTAATAACCACATCCTGGTAAATGGGGTATCCATCACCTCAAGCATTTATCATTTTTTTAGTTACAAACATTCCAATTATACTTTTAGCCATTTTAAAATGTAAAATTATATTTTAAAATGTACAATAAATTATTATATAAAATAATCACTCTGTTGTACTAACAAATACCTGATCTTATTCATTCTATGTAACTATATTTTTAGACCCATTAACCATTCCCACATCTCTCACCCCTGTCCACTGCCCCCACTACCCTTCCCAGCTTCAGGTACCCATCATTCTACCCCAAGAAGATCAACTTGACTATAAGTCAGAAGAGCCAGATGCTGCAAGCCAGGTAACCACGTTCAATTTCTCACCATGCTAGTATGACTTATAATAACACAACATGCTTCCGTACATAAAGTTCTTAAAAGTAAACACACAGAATAAATACAATTCATGAATAAACATATGCTGACCTTATTGACCAAAAATTGAACAGAAAGGAAGAGATTTATGAGTAAAAGATTCAATAGTAACAAGTAAAGGTAGAGAAATTGGAAGCTTCACTAAGGTGATAAAAGCAGCTTAAAGTCAGAGGAAAAGAGGACATTGTCATACAAACCATGTGTTAAATGGCATCAAATAGGATCAGCAAAAGAGAATCTACAAGCCTTTTGTCCCCCAGTTTAAATATATCCAGTGAAAGAGATCTCCGATTTAGTGTACATACATGTATTTACTCTCTCAACTCTAATACTGACCGCATAAGCTATTCATGTGAACATTATATGTTTCTTCCAGGCACTCTGGAGCAATTTGCAACATACAAGTAGTATATCAGATTCTAGAGGGAAGTGGGCTGGTAATAAATGGTGAAAGAGAAGATGAGATAATTATTCCCCACTAATTCCTATTTACCCTCCACTAAAGGAGGGAAGAAGAGGAGGAGGAGGTGAGGTAAGAAAAGAACTCTGAAGTAATTAACACCCACTCAGAGGTGAAGGAGAGAGATTAAAGCTGATGAGGGGGAAAAACGTATCAGAGAAACTTTCCTAAATCCCTGTAACTTCAGTCACGGAACACACTATCTGCTTTTGCATTTTGCCTACGGTTTCTGACCTGCCTCCTCTTCCCAGCATAGCCATCTAAAATAAACCTTGGGTGTGTTAATGGACAGGATTTACCTGACTCTCCTGCTGCTCCTTTCTTCATTGAGAGCCTGCTGGGCAGACAGAGGCAGGAAGGGAAAACTGAAAAATGTAAAGGTGAAAATGTACAAGAATGTAGCAGCAAACAGGGATCTCCAAGGAGGTAAATCTCCAGCTTTTATCAAGAAAGGACTCCTGCAGCAATAAGATCTGCAACCTTTAAGCCGGAGGTAACTCAGAGTAGAAGGGAAACGTCTTTCTACTCTAATGACCAACATAATTCAGGAACACAACCCAACAGAATATAAACTCCAAACCAGCAGATCTTAGGGAGCTACAGGGAGAGCAATCCTGAGAGCCTCATTTAAGTGGAAGAGGATAATGTGTCATTGATCTTGAGGTAGTTGGTAAAAGTGAGAGAGAAAAATACACCGTAGGAAAACCAAACAAAACAAAACTGGACCATTTAGCCTGGCAGGGACAGAAATAAGGAGACCCTTAAGAGAGGAGTTTGAAATCACAGTAAAAAGTGCAAGTGATGTGATACAATAGAAAACACGTTGCCTGGGAATCAATACCTGATTCTAAGCCATCACTCTAATAACCAAATGGCTTGTTTGGGGTTGAATGTTCCCAAATGGGGATTTAGATAAGGCCTTTGTTTGAGTGGCCTATGAATTAACCTTTGCTTTTTTCGCTTTAGGGAATATGGTGTGGATAGAAAAAGGGCAGCGATTAAGCTACAAAATTAGAAAAATTACCATGGGGATAGCAGCAAGCTAATTTCCCCAGTCCAGGTTCTTTGTAATCTCTAATCCCACACTGTGATGCAGTTGCAAGTTCACTAGCCAGGGAGTCAGGACTAATAAGGTGGACCTAACACCAGCTCTGACTCCAATTAATAATGACACAGAGAAATAGTTTTCATGCCTCAATCACCTCATCTGCAAAATGGGGAAGGGTGTGAGTTGAGCCATAAGCTCGACTCTCTGCAGGTCCTCTGTTGCCCCATAAGCCATACCCAGCCCCACGTCCCACTATTTGCCCACAGATATCCTCTGATTCTCCCAAGGTTTATCATTCATCTGCTGCTCCGTACCAGGCCCAGTTCCACCGTGTCCCACACATTTGCTCTTGCTGTTCTGTTGGACTAGAAGTAGAATCCATCTCTACCACCTTCCAAAATCTTTTAGTTATTTGCCATACACTGAACAATTGAAGTTCATCTTTCAATTTTTCCTGTTCTAGCCATGTGTGGTGGCTCCTGCCTGTAATCCCGGCACTCTGGGAGGCTGAGGTGGGCAAATCACTTGAGCTCAGGAGTTCAAGACCAGCTTGGGCAATGTGGCAAAACACTATCTCTACAAAAAAATAAAAAATTTAGCCAGGCATGGTGGGGCATGCCTGTAGTCCAAGCTACTTGGGAGGCTGAGGTAGGAGGATCACTTGAGCCCAGGAGGCAGAGGTTGCAGTGAGCCCAGGTCACACCACTGCACTCCAGCCTGGGTGACAGAACAAGGAATGGTCTCAAAAAAAAAAAAAAATCCTGTTCTTACAGACCACAATATATCACTTGACACTTGGACTGTATTATCTGATGCTCTCCTCAAATTATTTTCTATGACTTAGGCTTGTCTCTTTAAATAGCAAATTCCTTAAGTGTTAAACTTTCATATTTTCTATAATTCTTAAGCAGTCAGTAAAGGCTTAACACACAGATATAGTCAGTTTGGCTTGAAGGCTGGCAGAAACTATTAGCAGATGCCAACTTCATCTTTATACAGTAGAACAAAACTCCTGAACATTTCCTAGAACTCCAAATCTAAACTTGAGTTTAGTTAGGCTAACAATCTGTGATTTCCTCAACTGTCCTTGAATATTAGTAATTCAAATATTTGAATGCTTTCCATGAGCCAGTTCTATGCGCCAAGTGCCTTGTGTATATCATCTTACTTAATTCTCACGACTACCCAATAGATAGTATTACGGATCCAATTTTGTAAATGGAGAAAATGAAGCACAGCAAGGTTAAGCAACTTGCCAAAACTCAGAGTAGTAAGGAGTGGAGCTGGGACTTGCACCTGGGTTGTCTAAGCTTATAACCACCATACTATTCTGCTATATGGCTTAAGTGCCTGTTTTTACTTTGCTCTAGTTTTCTTCACTTTCCTACAGGGATAAACTCAAGTATAGTAGGCATACAACAGTCATCCTCTTTCTAGTGTGGAAGGAGGATGTTCTTTAAGCTGAAAACATTGAACAACAATGATACAGTGTTACTTACTCTTTACTGTGTTCACTTGATGCCAGGCAATACACTAAGCACCTGTATATGTCATATCATTTAATCATGATCGCCTAAAACTAGCCATGTAAATATCATGTATAGTAGATCCAACTATTATTCAGTTTTTGCAGCTAAAGTGATTGGAGTTTAAGTTAAATAATTTATCAAATGACAAAAGGTTTCAGATGGTGAAGCTAGAATTCAAATTTAGTTCCATTTGATATTGGAGGCCAAATTCAACCTGTTCACTTTCCTGCGTTCTCATGTTACTACAAGTTATAGTGCTTTAATGATTTAATTACAGCAAATTTTCTTTCATAATGTACATAAACTCAGGGGAAATAATTAGATCTATATTCTTCCCAGCAGCTGAAAACTATGCTTATTAAAAAGAAAATAATATTAAAGTATAAGATCAATTTCAAGCATGTGTAATATAAGAGAGACAGACCATGTGTGGTAAAGGAAATTTTGTGGATCAAAGTGGGTATTGATGGGGAAAATTCTATATATGGAAAAAGAAAGAAAAAAATCATTTTATTCCTAAGACTGTTACTCAAGCTTATCTAAGTTTCCTAATTGGAACTTGATTCCCAAGGGATTTCTATCACAGCTAAACACTAATTCAGTTGCACAGCTTTGTAGCATGATTGAATCTGGTGGCTAAATTTAGACCTGAGAGAACACAACCATAATCCTTGCTTAAAATTATTCAAGACAGAGACAAGTTCCAGAGACTGAGGAAAAATGAAGGGATGAAAAAGTCCACTTAAGTACTGGAATTCACTAATGCATTCTTTTATTATTAAGACTTAATAATAAAGCAGATTTAGGTTTACAGCAAAATTGGGAGGAAGGTTTAGATATTTCTCATATACCCACTGCCCATACATATGCAGAGCCTTCCCCAGTAACAATATCCCCCACCAGAGTGGTGCAGTATTGCAACTGATAAACTTACACTGACACATCATAAGCATCCAGAGTCCATAGATTACATTAGGGTTCATTCTTGGCTTATATATTCTTTGGGTTTGGATATGTGGGTAATAACATGTATCCATCATTATAGTATCATACAAAGTAATTTCACCTCCCTCAGAATTCTCTGTGTTCTGCCTATTCATCTCTTCCCCAATCCCCAACTCCTGGTAACCACTGACCTCCTTATTGTCTCCATAATTTTGCTTTTCCAGAATGACATATAGTTGAAATCTTACAATATTTAGGCTCTTGAGATTCACTTCTTTCACTTAGTAATATGCACTTTAATTTTCATGTCTTTTCATGGCTTGATAGCTTATTTCTTTTTAGCACTGAATTTTACTTTGCTCTAGTTTTCTTCACTTTCCTACAGGGATAAACTCAAGTATCGTAGGCATACAATAGTCATCCTCCTTCTAGTGTGGAAGGAGGATGTTCTTTAAGCTGAAAACATTGAACAACAGTGAAATAGTGTTGTCCAATGAGGGGACACTGAGAAGGCACAGTGCCCCCTCAGTTTCCAAACTATCTGTGTTTAAAAACCACTACAACGTCACTAGACATTACTATCCAAATAGTCTAAGACAAATGTAGTTATGGAAAACCAAGATAATCCCAATACACCACAGCTTCTTTTACCAACACAAATACAGCACTTGCTATAAGCCAGATACTGTTGTGACCACCTTGTTTCAACTCATATCAGTGCTGGGAACAATGCTATGAGGCAGACACTATCATTATCACCATTTCACAGATAGGGAAACCAAGAGAAAGATTAAGTAACTGGCACCAGACCACACAGCCAGTAAGTGGCAAAGCTAAAAACTGAACCCAGGTAATCTGAGTACAGAGTCCATGGTTTTAACTCTTTACAAACAATTTCTTTCAAAGCGAAGTTCTTCACTACCTGTTTCTCTAGAATTTAATTCTTCCTTTGAAAAGTTAGGTTACAATATGTACCTTTCTCAGACTCTGTGGAAAGTTAGCTAAGAAAAAGAAGGTAAGTGTTGGCAAACCTTCCATATCCGCATGTAGATGTTGGCGTCTGAGGGAGAGCCTTCACTGAGCTGACCAAGTGGGCTCCCCGCTCACGACGAGTCCTCTACATTCCAGCTCCATCTGGCTCACTTTCTGCTTCTACTTCCCTAATAGAACTTCTGAGTCCTAAAAGTCCTCCTCAGGTGGCCCCTTTAAACCTGATGAGCTCAACAACAGACACAGCTGGGGTCAAGGAATTTGGAATTGCCTTAGGAATTAGAGGCTTGGGTTTTGGCACCTGTCTTCACTACTTTTAAACAAAAATACTGCTTTAGCTACCCTCCTCAGCTTAGGTTTCAAATATGACAGGTATTCTCCCCTTAAAAGAAATATTAATGAGCGGGTTCAGGAGTTCAGGTAATCTCATTTCTCCCTGCATTCACGCATACCCATGATTATTCCAGAATGAGTTTACAGAATGCTGTACCAGGGCATTACAATAGGCAATGTTTTTAAAATGCCGTCAAGGTCAGGTTAAATCACATGATTATCATTATTAACTATGCAATTGGCCTCATCCAGAATGAGAAGGGAAGTAGAGGCCATTAAGCACATATTTATCGTTAAAATTATTTCTAATATTAACATGATTATTATTCTCACAACAAATTTGTGATGTGTGTACCTTTATCTACATTTTACACATGCATAAACTCAGGTTTATAGATGTTTAATAACCTGTCCAGGGCTTCCTCTGTAAGTAGTAAGAGGCTGAGCTCATATTTAAAGCCATACCTGTCAAAACCAAAACACATACTTTTTCAAGTACTTCTCGACCAGTTTATTAAATCTCTCTTTGCACCTGATACACTTTCTCTGTATTATCCTATTCTCTACTGAGAACATCTGAACACACTTGAACATATGTTGCCAACTCAGCTTAGCACAAGTGATGGAGAATGGAGAAGATAAGCGCCCAGAAGTGATTTTGTATTATCTATATTTTGAGCCATAGTCTGCTCATTCTTTGTTAGTTGCTTTATTATTAGTAATTGGTTGGGAATCAGCAGAATTAAAATCAAACTGAGAAAGTTCTCAGTAAATTTGTGCCAGTCTCACAAAAAATAAGTGCTTAACAATATGTAATAACATGTATCTAATAGTGATAGCTACCATCTATGAAGTGCCAGACATTTAATCTAATTAGTTTTTAAAGCATCCCTCTGAGGTTGGCATATAATTAGCTCCATTTTATGGAAGAGAAAACAGGTGTAGGGATGCTGAGTAACTTTCCTGGGGTTATGCAGCTGATAAAGTGGCAGAGCTTGGATCATGTAAGCTCTGTCTGACCTGAATGCCCCCAATCTGCTCAGCGTCATCTGTGTGATTGTCTCAAAGCAGGAGCTTCTCACCATGAAAACATGGAGACAGTGGAATACTAAAGGGAGATGCAGAATAGTTTCTGTACAAATTTTTTTTGCTTTTTCCCCCAGCTTCATGAGGTATAATTGACAAATAAACTGAACATATTTAAAGTGTAAATTTGATGACATTTGACATATGTATATACCCATGAATCCATCACCATAATCAAGATAATGAGCATTTCCATATCCCCAAAAAGTTTCATCGTTGTCCTTTATCTAATGCTCTGTTTTCTCATCCCCAGGCAACTACATTAACTGCTGTCAAAATACATTAGTTTGCACTTCCTAGAATTTTACGTAAATGGAATACTATTAATATATATTATTTGTTGTCTATCTTCTGCAATTAGAATAATTATTTTGAGATTCATCCATGTTATTGTATGAATTTTTTTCCCTTTTATTTATTTTTTTATTGTTTTGAGACAGTCTTGCTCTGTCGCCTAGGCTGGAGTGCAGTGGCGTGATCTCGCCTCACTTCAAGCTCCATCTCCCAGGTTCACACCATTCGCCTGCCTCAGCCTCCTGAGTAGGTGGGACTACAGGCGCCCGCCACCACACCTGGCTATTTTTTTGTATTTTTAGTAGAGACGGGGTTTCACCATGTTGGCCAGGATGGTCTCGATCTCTTGACCTCGTGATCCACCCGCCTCGGCCTCCCAAAGTGCTGGGATTACAGGCGTGAGACACTGCACCCAGCTTTTTCCCTTTTTTTTTATTGCTATTGCTGAGTGTGTGGATATACCAGAATTGCTTATCCATTCACCTGTAAGTGGATAGGTTTTTGGGTAGTTTCTAGTTCTGGGCTGTTACAAATACAACTACTATGAACAATTGTTTACAGGTTTTTGTGTGGACATATGCTTTCATTTCTCTTGGATAAATATCTAGCAATGGAATGGCTGGGTCATATGGTGCATGGGTAACATTTTTTTTTTTAGTTTCTCAACTGTTACTTAAGGTGGATGTACCATTTCACATTATCACCAGTGGTGAATGAGAGTTCCAATTGCTCCATCACTTTGCCAACATTTGATATAGGCAGTCTTAAATTTTAAACAAGGATCTCTTGGGCCCCTACAGTGTGCTCTATAATGAACAAGAGGGCATGGGAGCACTAAAGAATTAGAGGACAAGGAACTCTACCCTATATGGTTCAAAATCTACCTGGGGAGACAATAAAGTAATGAGAACACCTTTAGTACAGATGTATATCTATATCTATGATCTGTGAGATATAAGAAGGATTAATATTATATAATATCTATATATGATATGTTAGGCATTATTAAGTATAGTTGGTCAGGTTTAGCTTCTAAGAATAGATCAGCTTTGTACCAACTTTGAGAGAACAACAGGATTTGTATTATTAGAGAGAGGAAAAAGATGGGGTTTCAAAGTCCTCTATTGATTGAGTTAACTTGAGTACACATTTTAACCTCTCTATTCCTCATCACAGAGGGTTATGTTGTGAATTACCCTCATCAAACAATAAGACAGAGTATTATGGAATCATCCACTTTCAAAGCTCTCACCAGAGAAGTTGTCAACCCTGCAGATTACATGGATTTAGGCAGAGAAATTGATAATACCTACCTATGTATTTGGAGAGATAACTCAGATTAACTTGGGCACATCAACAGAAAAAACATCACCCTCCTGTCATGTTAAACCTGCACTCGGCTGAGTACCAAACACAGTATCTATTTGCTGCTTTCAAGAAAGTTCAGGTCTACCATGCCTTTAAAACAGCAAATGGAAACTGAATTTGGCACTCAGTAAACTGCCTGCCATAGATTGGTTCAAATATGACAAGAGTTTGGCAAGAGTAGGTAAGATTATTATTATATCTCAAAGGAAAAAATGATTTATATGCACTTTTAAAAATAAGTACTCATCCTTTTAAAGAAATAACTTCTCTGAATTTAAACAAAAATCTATAAAGATACATTGGGAAGAATCATGATTCCAGTGAAGTTTTTCTTCCTTTGAATTTCTCTACAGCTGAATGTTCTGGTTTGTGTTCCAATGTAAGCCACAGACCACTTGGTTCTTTAAAACTATGGTCCCAGTTTTTCCTTAAATATATCTCTAGACACAGAGCCCATGTTCCCCAAGAAAATTCTCAATATCACAATATATCTCAATAAGCACAATTCTCATAGTGCTTAATGTTTTCTAGATCCCAGTAAAATTCCTGAACTACTTTTTCTAGAAATTCTGTTAACCTTAATCCTTACCTGCACCTCAGCCCAGTATCACCTACACAGCCCAATATCTGATGGATTTAATTCTTCCTACTCTCTTTCTCTATTTCTCATCCCTCATCCTCTTGAAATGATCCTCTAACTATCTATCTGTTTCATTCTCCTCATTTACCCCACCCCTTCCTGGGAAAAGATGAGTGTTGGGAGAAGCTGGGGCAAGGCTTGCATGTCTGACATAATGTAAAAGAGTCTTGGAACATGTCCAGGATCCAGGGTCTAAAACCCCCCATGGCCTTTGGAACACCAAGCTCTGTGCTAAAGGGTGGAGGGCTACGCTGACACACCATAATCTAAGGCCAGGGCATAAAATCCCTCGTAGCTTGGATAGAATCCAGGGCTCGTGGCTCTGGAATGTGTCTAGACTTGCTGGCTCTTTGCTCCTTGCTCTCCCAGGATTGATTGTATCTTGAGTTAAAAGAACCTGCTCTCCACTATCTCAAGTAGCAGAGCTAATGCTAAACCATCACAGCTGTAAATCATGTGCTTAATGCAATGTGCCTTTTCAACCTCCACATTCTCACCACCTGTTTCTTTGTTGGATTACCAATAAATAGCATGGGCTCCCAGAGCTCAGGGCCTTCACAGCCTCTGCAATCACAATGGCCCCCTGGTCCCACTTTACTTCTCAAACTGTCTTTTTCTCAATCCTTAGACTCCGCCGGACTTCGTTGCCCCCATGACCTGGTGTTGGGTCTGATCACACAAACATTCCTGGCACCCAACATGGGGTGACAAAGACCCTGGTGAAGGAACGCTAGAGCGTATGAAAGCAGAGGACACATCGTCAAAGGACACCCGAGGATGTCTAAAAGAAGCTCAGCGGGAAAGTTGAGTACTTGGAAGAACGAGGGTAACAATGGGACAAATTGAAAGCAGACATTCTGCTTATTTTTCTTAAGGCATTTATTACAAAGAGGGGGAGTGAAAGTTAGTACTTAGAATTTCTTATCACTCTTTAGTGCAGTAAAGCAGTTTTGCCCATGGTTCCCAGAGCAAGGGACTATGGAGTTGGATAAATGGGAGAGAATTGGCAGAGATTTTAAAAAAGCGTATAAAGATGATACAAAAATTCCAGTCTCAGTTTGGTCAATGTGGGCACTAATAAAAGCAGCTCTTGAGCCATTTCAAACAGACGATAAGGCAGATTCAGATGAGGAAGAGGAGGATGAGCATACACAACTAACTTCAGATTCTGAATGTGAGGAACAGAAACTGGAGGAAATTAAATGAAAGAGAAACTGAAAAAAAGTATGTTTTACTAGCCTGTCAGCTCCACCTGCTGAATTAAGTGAATAGCCACCTCCTCTTTCTCTCCTTAATGGGAGAGAAAATCAATTAGCTATAAAACTTACCACTCCTGTAGCTGCAACATTAAAACCTGGAGCAATTGGTAGTGCTAAGACCCAGTGGAATCTGAGGTTTGTTTATTCAGAGGGCACCTCAATAAACCGAGGCATATCTGGCACAGTCAGTGCCCTTACAAACGGCAACAATTGTCTCCCGCCGTGGCAGGCAGTGCTGCTGTGGACCTCTGCAGCACAATTCCCATCTCCCTACTTCCTGGAGAGCCACCAAAAAAGGTCCCTATGGGAGTTAGGGGACGCTTGCCCTCAGGAACAGTTGGTCTATTGCTTAGAAGGTCTGGTCTAAATTTGAAGGGTGTCACTGTGCATACAGGAATGATTGGTTCTGATTATACCAGAGAAATTCAATTAGTTATTAGTTCCTCAACTGCATGGTCTGCTTCCCCAGGAGAAAGAATTGCTCAGTTGTTGACATAAAGCTGGGAAGCAGCACAGTGAAAAGAACAGGAGGCTTTGGTAGTACTAATCCAACAGGAAAGGCTCTATATTGGGTTAATCAAGTATCTGACAAAAGACCTATTTGTACAGTAGACCTGCTGTTGGATGCTTACAGATTGACACACAGGCCTGGTTGGCAGTAGTCCCCAGAAAAAATAAATCATGGGCTGCTTTGCATAGGACAAGTAAAGCCATCTTGAAGCTTCAGTTTCATGGTTAACCTGCCTCTGCTAGAGAAAAACAGATTTAATGAGCACACAGGCATGATATGGGCTGAATGTGTTCATTGTGGTGTTTGTGGCCTTTATGATGGGAATGTTCAACCTCTACTCCTACTACATTGGTGGAAAACAAAATGAAGCCTTCACAACAGAGTTTTAAGACAATGTTCTGGGCTATATTTGGACTTTCTGAAGTGAAATCAGTGGTCATCAATTATAACCACAAATTCATTGAAAATATTGGTTATGTTCTTTATGGGGCCTGTAATGTTACAATGGTCATTGTTTTGCTAAATATGTGAATTGCCATGATCAACAACTTATTCCAGGAAATTGAGGATGACTCTGATGTGGAGTGGAAATTTGCAAGGGCCTAACTCTGGTTTTCCTGCTTTAGGCAGGAGACAGCACTTCCTATTCCCTTCAATCTGGTGCTGGGTCCAGGGTCCCTGTTTTGTCTCTTGCTGAAGCTTAAAGCATGGATTTCTGAGCTCTACCCAGGGTCATAAAAAAGGTTTCCAGGAAAGATGTAGAGATAAGTAAGTAAGTAGAGATAAGTAAGTAAGCAGAGATAAATTGAGACAAGTAAGTAAGTAGAGACAAGTAAGTAAGTAGAGATAAGTAAGTTAAGTAAAGTAGAGACAAGTAAGTAAGTAAAGTAGAGACAAGTACGTAAAGTGGAGATAAATAGAGATAGAGATAAATAGAGATAGGGACTTGCAGGAACTCACAGGAACTAACAGGTACCACAGGGACAGATAGGGATAGATGAAGACTAGCAATATAAGGTCAGTGCCCTAAAGAGGTACAAAAGCAAAGACTAGCAATATAAGGTCAGTGCCCTAAAGAGGTACAAAAGTAGAGACTAGCAAAGACTAGCAGAGATTTGCAGGGACAGACAAGAACATTCTGAATTATGGAAATTAGCTATGGCTCAAAGGGCAAATATAAAAGGAATGGAGGGGAGGGAGGTAAGGATAAAAATGCTCTTTCTTTTCTCTCCAGGACCTTTTGGTCCTTTAACTAAACTTAATCAAGGGGTGGATGCATTGGTTTCTGCGGTCTTTGCTGGCACAAGCATTCCATTCGTTAACTCATCTTAAGGCCGCAGGCCTTAGAAAAAAATATGGTCATATACAAAGAGCTGGGAAAAAGGAAAGATAACTATATGGGGAAGAGGATTTACTTGAGTCTCTTCAGGTGATGATCAGGTGCCTGTGTGGGTGCCCACGAAACATCTGAAGATCTATCCTGAGCCACAGCATCTAGTGGGCCCACCTGTACGGTGTGAATTGAAGGTTTGAAAAGCCTTGATTTGCTTTCCCTGTGCCTTCTGTTAGAAGGGGCCTGTTTCTCATTATCAGTGGCCTCCTGGCTACAGCCAAAAATGTTTTTGCTTCTGTTTCATTAGATTTACTAATATGGAGGTGAGGGTATGCTTGTGTTTTTGCAGGAGATGAATGAACCATGTAGGTGCAATCCCCATGACATGGGAACAGATCAAGAAAACCGCACAGGAAGCTGAAAAACTGCTGGAGCACCAGGGTTTTACCTACAGATGCTTAATGGACCAATGCTTTCTGACTGAGCTTCTCTCTACCCTGAATACAAGAGAACTGAACAGTTAGGCAGGAGTATCATCACCCCTATTCAGCATGAAGAAGTTACAGAAGAGGGACCTTCATCCTTCTGCAACCGCTAGAATTAAGGGTCCTCTTGAAAAAGGGAAAGGGGAGATGTGTGGGAAGTATTCAAACCAGAGCGACTCCAGTTTGAATAAGGGCTAAGAAAAATGAAGCTGGATCACCAACCGGCAATTAAAGGCTGCAGAGCATGAAAGTGCCTTGCTCAATTAAAAGAGGCCACCTTTTATGCTAGAAATAATGATAGCTAGTAATAATGATAGTAATAATAATACCTTCTGTTTTACAAAAAAGAGAAGGGGGGCATGTTGGGTAAAGCTGAGTGTCGGGAGAAGCTGAGGCAGGGCTTGCATGTCTGACATAATGTAAAAGAGTCTTGGAACATGTCTGAGGTCCAGGGTCTAAAACCCCTTGTGGCCTTTGGAACACCAAGCTCTGTGCTAAAGGTGGAAGGCTACCCTGACGCACTATAATCTAAGCCCAGGGCATAAAATCCCTCGTGACTTGGATAGAATCCAGGGCTCGTGGCTCTGGAATTTGTCTAGACTTGCTGGCTCCTTGCTCTCCCAGCATTGATTGTATTTTGAGTTAAAAGAACTTGCTCTCCATTATCTCAAGTAGCAGAGCAAATGCTAAGCCATCCCAGCTGTAAATCATGTGCTTAAAGCAACGTGCCCTTTGACCTCCACATTCTCACCACCTATTTCTTTGTTGGATTACCAATAAATAGTGTGGGCTCCCAGAGCTCAGGGCCTTCACAGCCTCCACAATCACAATGGCCCCCTGGTCCCACTTTACTTCTCAAACTGTCTTTTTCTCAATCCTTTGACTCCGCCAGACTTCATCACCCCCACGACCTGGTGTTGGGTCTGATCACCCCAACAACCCCTCTCCATGGGCTCCCTACTATCCTGTGAGCACCCATCTATCACTGGACACATTACATTTATGGTAACCCACAGTTGCCCATACAGGCCAGATCAGACTCAGGCCATCTGATTTCCAAGCTCAGAGACCTAACCATAAAAATATTCTACTTCTTAGTGTCTTCAAGACACTAACTTATAGTTCTATAAGTTAGTTCGGGACTAACTTATAGATAGAGCTATTCAATATTCCTAATTTGGGAGGACTTTCAGATTTTTAATGTTTGGTATCAATTTGAGAGCATAGAACAGTATTTCGGATTTTGAAAATATAGAGATATATTGATATGGCTTATAGGGAGAACCATCTATAACAAAGACCTTGAGAAGCTTCAGAACAGTAATTCCTTGGCACAAGCCCAGGTGAATCTACCATACCGATGTTACATTCAGGTCTAAGGGAAGAGTGCTTTTATGAGGCCCCAAAACATTGTACTTAAGAAAAGCTATTTATATTAAAAGTTACTACTTGCAATTCTGGAAACAGATGTAGACAAATACAGATCTAGCTCCTCTGGACAGAACTGAAACACAGCAGTCTTTGACAGTAACCAGTTGCTAACTAGGTGTTAGAAGAAAGACTGGCTAGGTGTTAATGAAGATGGAAGTACAGTAGTATACAAAATGCAACAGCTCTAATTCAGAGTTTGTCCTGGGTCATATTTAGAACAGAGTATTTTTCATAGGGATGTCATTTATTTCACAATAAATTTAGTGGCTCCATTGATTCTGATTAGCTACAGAAATCTTTAGTGATGACTGAACATTAAGGTGAACAATAAATATGACTCTACAGATAACGTTGGGAATATACTACTTTGAAACTGTTTTTGTTTTGTTTTAAATTAAATATCAACCTTAAAGCTTGCAGAGATTTTGATTAACCTTATTTTTTCCTAGTCTATTAAGAAAAAAAATTAAGCTTTATACAGTTTCCACTTCTGGAAAATGAGATTCATCTCAGAGTTCTTGTGAGATAAAAAGCTCTTAGAACCATGCCATGCACACAGCAAGTGCAATTAACTGTTTGCTGGTAATATTATTAAAACCAACAATTGTAGACAGTCAGTATTTGTAAAACGAAGGAAAAATAAATATGTTTTAAAATGCCTGGAAAGGGTATATATCTTTATGATGTATGACAGTGTTCCTGTGGTGAGATTAGCCTTCAGTGACAGATCAGGGAAGATTGCCAGATAAGATTCCTTGTTACAGCTCACATGCTACTTCTGAAAAATCCCTTTATACACGTTCAAAGCAAATGGCAATAACTAACCTGAAAAACAAATGAATACAAAGCAAGTTTCAATGTCTGTTTTCATACAAAGGAAATAAATACCCAAAGGCTAACTATTTGGACATGCTCCAGCTTTCTAGACAGTATTGGAAAATGCTACCTCCATGTTCCTTGGTGTGGCACTGGCCTTTTTGTTCTTTAAACTACATATTAATGAAATCACTTAACCACATTGTCATGGCCACATTTGTAATCAGTCTTCAAACAGCTTCCCTAGTGCATATCCTATATCTAAAGAAGAGTAGATACTCAGCCAGTGTAATAGCAAGGGAAAAAGCTGCTACCTTCTGGAAGAATTCACTAGTCTTACTTGACCACACTCACAATTCTTACAGCATAGCTGGTTATAAAATTTTTGCAACTCTTGTAAATCTAAGATGATCACTTATTTTTTGCCTTCTTTGAGCACCATATCCACTCCATTTGCTGACATTCAGTGTGAAAACTGACTATACACACATTCTGAGGTGAATGTAGAATGAAGCTAAGGTAGGTTTACCCTGCAGTCATTGACAAAAAAAATACTCCTTGATTATGTATTACTGTATTAAATATTATTTGCAACTAAAATGCATGGTAATACTCAGGAGAACAGAGCTTTGGTCAGCATAGCCTTTATTTCTTCATAAAAGGTGGCCTGGTGCGTTGAAAAGACAGCTATTCAGAGAGATCTGGCTACAGATTTGGGTTCTACTATGATGTGAACTTAGACAACTGACTTAAATGCTCTGAGTCTCAGTTTCTTTACCTGTGGAATGAAAAGAATAACCCTTGCCTAACAGGGTTGTTGCAAGCATTAAAGGATGTAAAGTGCTTAGCACAATATCTGATACATAGGAGCTCAATGAATGCTAATATATTCCTCATCTGATAAAAAGAAGTTAGATATTGTTTTTAAAATGCATTGCACTATTCTGCTGGCTATGATTTCAGGTAACAGTAGTAACTTGTTAGAAACCCATTTTAGAAGCCTGTAATTATTATGTGTCCCAAGTGCTACAGAAGACTTTACAAAGAATCTGATCTGGCCATCAGAGAGAACCAGTGGTGACAATTGGTCTTCCCCTCTACCTAAAACCCCCAGGATTATAGTTCACCTCCTTGTGAATCAGCCCCATCAATCTTTAGGCAAGTTTAACTTAGAAAATGCTATTTAAGTTGAGTCCTTGTTTCCCTGTAATAGCCACTCACTGATTAATTCTAATTCTGTCCTCTAAGCCACCATATGTCCAATGCAATGGATGTGATTATGGTAATAGGAAGAAAAAGTCACTAAATTCTGGATATAATAGGAAGGCCCTCATAGGGCCATATTCTCTTCCAGAATACAGAGATTCTTAAGCCATTTGGGATGTGTGGCTGAGTAACTGGTCCTCAAACCCTTTCTTTGGTGATGACCCCACACTTACATCTGTTGAAGGAGGGGAGCATATGGTGGTGTAATCATCTCCATTGTTTAGCTGAAGAAATGGAAATATCTTAAGATAAAAGAAGGAGATGGCACTTATCTTATAGACACATACCCACCCATTTATTCAACTGCACCTGTTGCTAACCAACTATGAACAGAAAGGCAAGGATAAGTCATTGAAAAAGATGCCTCACAAGGAAGTGAGGCTCTAGCCAATAAGGATATTTATGATGCTTCCTTAAGGTGTAATAAATATAGATGATACAAGGATAAAGACATTGATAAGATACAATTGGCCAGTGACCTTGAACAAAAATGTGGACATCCAAATGTTATCTTTCCTTGAAATAAGTTGCAAAGCCTAATGCCAGTAATATCAGCAAATCTAGCCATCAAGGCTAACAATAGGAACTCACAACAACGGATTCCATTGGCTAGAGTGAAGGTGCTAACAGGAGTAAAAATAAAATGGAAAATAAATTGTGAGAGATTTCTGTCTCTTTCTCATATGTGGCAGATGATTATTTTTATTATTACATGTGCAAATATATTTTGGCTGGAACATCACTTTAGGTGTCAAGATGTGTGACTTAATCAGCCACAGAAAGAATCCCAAGACCTGTTTTAGCCAGTAAGCAAAGCCAATAAAACAGAGGCTAAAAGTAGAAACACCTGCTAACTTCTAATTATGGCAGTAAAGTGAGGTTAGATTGGCCACTAGTGAGGCTGTTGAGTAGCCACTGATAACCTGAGTTTTCACCTATGTATGGCACTAGCCTCCACAGTTGAGTATGAAACCACAGATGAGACAGAAATGGGTGGTTTGGGTGGGGAGGGAAGTGAAGAAGGATGGGGAGGAGATTATTATTCCAGAGCCCAGAGCCACTGCATTCTCTAAGCTAGATAGAGGGGCAAAAAGGCCAATTGAGGTTATCTTCGAGGTCCTCTGGAAGGCATCTCATCCAGCTCTGGCCTCTGGTGATCTGCAGAAGGCAGAAGTATTATTGTTATGGTGTTAGGCTGGTCCTTACTCCACATGCTGAGTTTCTAGTTTCCCATTGATATTCCCTAATCTACTTCAGGGTTTTCAAGGTGCCAGCTCCTCAATATCTCTACAGCCTGATCTTTCTCCGAAGAATCTATTGGTTCTTCTTGATTGCTGATAGGCATTTTCCTGTCAATCCTGCACTCTCACATGCAGATACCTGTCCTGATAGTTCCATCACCTCCAGAGGGACACTGGACCATGCTCTGCAGCCCTCTGCTGCCCTCCACTGGCCATATCTGATGGCCAGGGTTTGCTCTGAGCTCCCCAGGCAGCACGGTGTGAAATGGCTTACTCTTGAAGCATCTCCCAGGAGACCAGTGGGCTGCCACATTGCCAAAGCAGCTTACCACCCTGGAACACAAGGATACCATAACACAAGGGAAAGCACTACTCTGAAGGCCCTGTCCACAAATTACTCTTCAAAGAAGAGGTATCCGCCTTTCATGTACTAAACATATGTTGACCTCTGTGGACAAGAACATGGTAAGGCTGGGGAGAAAAGAGATGAAAAAGAAATAGAAAAATACTCTCAGAAAGCTCCTGGTGCTGCATGTCCAATTTGGCTGGCCCATTCCCAGGGGCTTGATTTTAGTATTGGAGAGAAGCAACTTACTCTCTGAGCCCCAAGCCCAAGTCCTTCAGGAGCTTCTAGAAACGAACTTCTCATGTTTCATGGATGTCATCCAAATTTGAATTTTACCTGCCATGTCTTTGTCTTAAAAAACAAACAAGCAAAACAAAAAAAAACATGGCATCAAAGTCAAAGACATAGGGTCTGCCTTCAAGAAATTTCACAGTTGGAAGGAGAAAGATAGTCATAGAAAAAAAATAAAAAATAAGTCACGATGTGGCAAGAGCCAAGCTGTGTGGGAATGAGAAGCAAAGACAATTAATTAGGACTGTGGGGATAAGGTGAAGCATTTAAGGGTTGTCTTTGTAAAACAGAAATCTGATCAACATTGTCTACAGGCTCAAATAGAAACCCCTTAGCATGATCTAAAGTAGGCTCCATAATATTTCCCCTACCTTCCTTAACTGCTGCTCTCATCATTCTCCAATATCTGCTGGTCCAACTGAAATTCATCTTTATCTCAACCAATGTGCAACCCCAGAACCCATGGAGAGAGAAAGAGAGAGAGAGAGAGTTCCAGATATCCCTTCCCAGTGCAGATATCAGTCTCAGATCTTCTGTGCTTCACTTCCTCCTCAATTTCTCGTCACCTCTTGTTTGATTTATTCAGCTCTCTCTTTTAGACCTTTATCTGGAAAGACAATTTTGATCTGTAAGGTCTGAAGCCAGACACATTCTCTCCCTTGGATATTTATGTGCTTTCTCTTTGGCTGTCTCAGCTCAGCCCCACTAAACCCAGATACTCAGAACCCAACCAGGCAACACCTATGTCCCATCTGTGAAGTGGCACCTGAGATCCTGAAACATTATTGCCCACAGCAGGTCATAGCCTCTGTTTATCAGCTTCCTCCCCATCTCTGTCCTAGGATGTTAGTCATAAATCAAAGCTATAGCAGCTGCACTGTATCTTAGGTAATTTCTCTGAATATTTTATTTTATCTTCTTTCACCCATTGGCTACCATCTGAATTGTTCCTTTATGCTTTTTACTTGAAAATACTGCTAAACTTACACATTCTGTCTCTACTGACAGTGTCCAACAAAGCAGCCCTTGGACAGGGTTAACCCCAATATCCCAGAGTACCACTTAATTTGAAAAGAGGGAGTCAGACAAAACTATGGTGATTATGAGAATACTGGTAGGATCAAGGAATGTTTATTGAGTGCTCAGATGTGCCAGGTTCTGTGCTAGGTGCAGGTTGTCATTTGATCTTCACAATTGCCTTTTGAAAGAGGTAGTATCTCCATTTAAAGAGAAGGACACTAAGACTTTGGAAATTAAACTATTTGCCTAAGGTTTTCTTTCACATGTGTGATTTCAGAGCCTGTACTTTTTTTTTTTTTTTTAAGTGAAAGCAAGTTTATTAAGAAAGTAAAGGGATAAAAGAATGGCTATTTCATAGGCAGAGCAGCAGCATGGGCTGCTGGCTGCCCATTTTTATGGTTATTTCTTTATTATATGCTAAACAAGGAGTGAGTTATTCATGAGTTTTCCAGGAAAAGGGTGAACAATTTCTGGAAGTGAAGCTTCCTCCCCTTTTTAGATCATATAGGGTAACTTCCTGACATTGCCATGCCATTTATAAACTGTCATAGTGCTGGTGGGAATGTCTTTTAGCATGCTAATACATTATAATTAGTGTATAATGAGAAGTGAGGACAACTAGAGGTCACTCTTGTCATCATCTTGGTTTCGGTGGGTTTTGGCTGGCTTCTCCACTGCAGTCTGCTTTATCAGCATGGTCTTTATGACTTGTATTTAGTGCTGACCTCCTATCTCATCCTGTGACTAAGAATGCTCTAACCTCCTGGGAATGCAGCCTAGTAGGTCTCAGCCTCATTTTACCCAGCCTCTATACATGATAAAGTCACTCTGGTTTAAAAGCCTCTGACATTTTCCCCCTTCCTTTTATAAGAGAACCCTTAATCCTAAGGGTTGCAGAGGGATGAAGATCCATCTTCTGTAACTTCTTCAGGCTGAATAGGAACGATGATATGATATCCCTGCCTAACTATGAAGGTCTTTTATATTCAGGGTAGAGAGAAGCCTGGTCAGAAAGCATCAGTATGTTGAGGGCCACTCATAAATCTTGAGTTTCAACAAAAGGTGATATTTGGAAGATTAATAAGTGCTCAATTTAGGAAAACATTCAATAAGCTTATCTTGCATTTCTTTTTTTACTTTTTTTTTTTTTTTTGAGATGGAGTCCTACTCTGTCACCAGGCTGGAGTGCAGTGGTGCAATCTTGGCTCACTGCAACCTCCACCTCCCAGCTTCAAGCGAACCTTGTCTCAGCCTCCTGAGTAGTTGGGACTAGAGGCACGCACCACCACACCCAGCTTTTTTGTATTTTTAGTAGAGATGGGGTTTCACCATCTTGGCCAGGATGGTCTTGATCTCTTGACCTTGTGATCCGCCCGCCTTGGCCTCCCAAAGTCCTGGGATTACAGGCGTGAGCCACTGCGCCAAGCCGTTATCCTGCATTTCTACACAAAGAGTACAACAGCAATATATCCCACAACAGTTAAGCAAAATTATCCCAAGTAAACTAAATAAGAAGGCTTTCCATGAACTGGGCAACTGATGGAACCAAGCTGATATGGGACCGCTACCTGATTCCAATATGTGGACAAAATTAGAATATTGATTCAGACTTTTACATTACCCATTCCTTTTGTTTCTTCTGAGCAGCAGCCAGAGATCACTGGTGGTTTCACATGAATAAGCAGAGTTAGTCTAAATTCAGAAAAAAACTTAAAAAACAACTCATGAGACTAGAATCTAATAACAGACATACTATAGTTCCCAAAACATAATTATTCTCTCAGAGCCTGTACTCTTAACCGCATGTTTTTTCCTGGTTGCCTGCCTCTCAGACAGTCAGTACTCTATAGCTATTTATTGGATTTTCTAGATGAAACTGACATTTGGCCACAGAACCGCATTTGGATTTGTATTAATTCCTAGAGAATCTTGAAAGTTTTGTGCTTCTACAGAATGTTCTTCTCATTCTCTGAAAAACTGGAAGGTCTTGAGTAGAGTCCAAAATCTGCTGTTAAGTAGTGAGAGTTATTTGGAACTTAGCATAAAGTGGTCATCTTTAATGGAGTAAATTACTATTATTGTTGCTGTTATTATCTCTTTTAGTTGAATCTGAGGGAATTCTATGAGAATAAGGAAAGCAAGAAATCCCTTTCATTAAAATGGGATGCAGCTAAGTGTAGTTGAATCTGAGGGAATTCTCTGAGTATAAAGAAAGCAAGAAATCCCTTTCATTAAAATGGGATGCAGCTAAGTGTACATTCAAGTAATATGATAAAGGCATAATACACACATGCCATATGGTATATATGCTCATTTCACTGTCAGGTTTTAAGTAACGGTTGCTAAAAAGGCTATTATGCAATATGGTTTTTTATGTCTCTTACATCAATGATTTTCTTTTAAGCTCAATTCTTTGTCCTCTCTTATATTCCCTAAGGGAAGAAAAGACACATCTTTCAATCTCAACTGGCAATTTGTACTTTTAAAAGTAAAATCCCAAAAGTATGATAAGACTACATCTGTTGTGTTCATCACTATAACCCCAATGTTTGCCCATTTAGGCACCCAATAAATACTTGCATATTGAAATCAGTCATCACTCTCACAACTATCACAATCGCCCTCACAGGCTAAATTTATGCAGGTTGCTGATGCTTTGTGTGAATCAGCCTGGGAGCACGGATACATGTAAATGCTTAGGCTGCCTCTTTTCCCGTGCATTCCTGAAGCTCCATTTGGAAAGAAGAAAGCCATCTTCCAGAAGTGAGTGGGGCACTTCGTTTCACTAGGGTTTTGGAGTGGAAATGGATTGAGGTGTCATAAATGAATGTACTTTCTGTACTGTGGAGATGGGACAGAATGTGAGAAGGCAGCAAAATCAAATGCAGTCTGGCCCCAGAGTGTCATGCTGAAGTTACCTGGAGAGTCATCTCCAGCAACTGCAGGGCTCACACTATGCTGAGAAACATAATTAGCTACAAGAGATAACAAAATAAAAAGGAGACCTCTCCACCACCTCTCAAAGGTACTGAATAAGTTCATCTAAACCAGACCATTAACAAATTGTCCTAAGCTCTCCCCTTTATAGAGATGCATGTCTACCAGCATCCACCTACTGTGCTTTTAAGGAGTGCTGGAGAAACAGTAACCCCTCGCTGACCATTCAGGTCTTCATTAAATTGGGACCAGCTCTACCTAAGCACTTTGCACTTAGAGAGGCAGATATGTAATTGTTAAGAGCATCTGTCCCAGAACCAGATAAAGTTCAAATCCCTTTTCCACTGTTGCTTACCCCAAGATCTACCTTAATTACACTGTGCTGTGTCCTGAGGCGTTGGCCTGTGCGAGTCACATCAGCTGGCTTCCTTACCTTCCTGCCTCCCAGTGGGGAGCAATGGCAGGAGACAGGAAGAAAGGAGAGTGAGGTCTGATACTCCTACCTCTCTCCCTGCAGAGTGACCTTGGGCCAGCTACATTCCTTATCTAAAGATCTCAGTCTTTTGTAGATGACCCTATCCACACAGCCATATCTATTTCCTGGATCTTCAGGTTTAAGGTCTCCTTAAATCAGACAAATACAAGTGTGCTATCTGTCCCCTGTTGGGATCCTGCCTGATACACCATTTACTAGGATGTGATTTTGGTGAGTTACTTAACCTGTCTGGGTCTTAGGCTGCTCATTTATGTTGGGGATGATAGTAGTACCCTGGTCACAAGGGTGTTGTGAGGATGAAATGATACATTAAAGCAGTTAGAACAGTGTTCAATGAAATATTAACTACTGTTATTACAGAAGCTCAGTTTGAGAAGATTCCTCTTTTTTTAGCCTCAGATTGGCCTCATTCATTCTCTCATTCCTATTCTTTCTCTCTGACTTCATTTGAAAGGAAAACGCCTACACTTTTTTTAATGCTTCAGACCATCTGAACTGTCCCTATTTTCTGCCTGTCACTGTCTTTCCCTCCTTCCTTATCTGTGCTTCCTCATATCATCTCCTAAGAAGTCCCCTTCCAGGTTCCAGGCCTTCTTCTCTGCCTGCAGACCCTGCAGCTAACCTTTCCAAGTTTGCCTTCATTTATTGCTGGGCAGAGACTTCTGCACAATTCTGCAACATAACCAAAAGAACCACAGAGCTTCATGTTTCTGCAGAAATATGCAAATTGCTTTTTTAAAAGTTTTCTTGTGAAAAAAAAAGGTATGTCTATCAACAATGCAGGAGTTTGGTTGGTTTTCTGTTTTTGTTGTTGTTTGGTTTTTTGCATGTGAAAAAGCTTCAGTGGCAAAATAGACTGTTTTTTGGTTTTTTTGTTTTTTGTTTTTTGTTTTTTTGTTTTTTCTGTTCTTTCTTAACACTTACATTTTCCCCCAAGCATATTCAATACTAGACTATTTAAGAAGTTGTAAAAATTCCTATTAGGAATGTAATTGTAGTGCCCTGGGTACATTTGAATTTTGGTTTGCAAAGATCTTGGGAAGATAAATTTTCTGGTTCATCTTATAAGAGATCTATTTCCTGCAGAAAAATTAAAAACATAAATAATAGTTATATATCCCTTACTCATATCACTTTCTTGTTGCTTCTCTAAACAGCACACAGTATTTACATAGTATAAAGGCATAAATGTACAAAAACACTGACCTAATGCCTTAGTGTTTTGTTTCGTTTAGTTTTGGTTCAAGTAAATCAGAACCAGTATTTAGTTTTCACACTGGAGGCTACTAAAACATCCTCCAGGGTTAAAAAAAAAAAAAAAGGATTAATATGCTTAAGAATTAAGCAAGAGAATAAAATTATTCTTATAACTTCCTCTCTCAACTCTGATTACCATTCTATGACCTCCTGAACTTGAATGTCTATGTCTAAAAGAATAACACAGCCACGGTTGAGGGTCCAGGTATATACAACTGTGAATAGATAATTAGAAGCATCTTTCACGATTTTTCAGTTCCCAAAATGAGAAGTAAAAAACTAGAAGAAAGAATCCATCTTTTAAGCTGCAAATCATGTTCACTGAAAATGAAAGAAAATATCTGAGGCAGACATCTGAATGGTCAGTGTCTGCCATGTGAATTGACAGGCTCTTGTTTCTGCTGGGTTTATTTTGACATAAATGATAAACAAACAAACAAGCAAGTGCTGCCACCTGGCATTTGACAATGTGAAGATGAAGTTTTAACACACCTGCTCAGATGTTTCACAGTTAGACAGCTGCCAGCACCACTTCCTATATCAATTTGGAGGAATGAAAGGTGCACTCTCAGCATTCCTCATTCCCACATTTCCCCAAAGTGTGAAGCACCATACGGAAACTGTCAAGCTCAGTTCTGCACTGCTTGGGGTAACTATGGAGTCATGTGGGGGTTCTGCATGTGGAGGGAAGGAATTACTGCATGCCAGGAGGAGACAATGATTAAATGCAGGAAGAGATAGCTTCTGTATTAAACCATCTGAAAGACTGCTAATGACACTGTTTGCATCTGAAGCTGTTAATCTTGGATATTTTTAGATGAGAACAATAGCCAAACTCCTAAAATCAAAAATTGTATCCTCTCAGAATATGAACCCAATACTAAATAGGTAAGGACAGCAATCTTATCTAAATGCTATTCATGAAAATAAACTTTTATTTCCTTCTGTACTCACTTTTTAATTCTATATGTGGAGTACCTGTTGCCTATTATGTAAATATAAATACATATATGTATGTGCTTCATAAAACAATATAGAAATGACAGAATCTGAAAGTTGTCTTCACCACCATGAATAATTTTTGACACAAAAGTTTCTAAGTGACAAACTAGGTGTTAAGCTAATACGCAGGTAAGATGTTTAAATAACATTGTAAAACTGCATTGTCTTTAAATATGATTCTCAGTTGACATGTATGCCTGCTGATAAAGTGTGTATATGGGGACAGGGAAATTCCAAATGATCCTCTGAACTTCAATTTGTTTAAATAAAGCACATTATGTGGTTGGGAAGGGAGGAGGTGAGGCTGAAGCAACGCTGTATCTATTTAAAAACATTGGTATTTGAGCGAATACATTTTATTCAGTTCTACTACAAAGACTTTCTAATATTTATATGCCTTTCTAAATGTCTCATTATCCATGGTAGGTTGGGTGGACAGATACCTTAAAACGATATGATTCAATTGGGTCAAGCAGAGAGAAATGCAAGCATTTGCACTGCTGTGGGGTCAGAGAGACTCAGAAAATAATAATATGCAGTTTTTACAACTGTGCTATTAGGTTTCACTACCTGGTATTTGAAATTTTCACAAAGTAACTGACAGTGCTTCATAGTTTGTCTATCTTAGCAAAATAAATAAATCTATTTATAAAATGCCAGACTAGCACTAACAGAATATTGACAAATCATACCAAATTGCATTGATAATTTAATGTTATTTAGGCATGCAAATATAGGTATAACAGGAAAATACTATCCCCCAAATATTTCACCATACAATCTCCAAAATATTTTTATTAAAGGAATTGACTGCTAAATAGAAAAGGTCTTATGAATGCATCAGTTACATATAAATTCTATTGCATAAGCAAAGCATTATTAGCATTACTGAACTATGAAATAGAATTGGGCTACAATAATATAGAATCAGATATTCTAATAATATCAAGAGAAGATTGATTTACCCTTAGCAGGAATATCTTCCTAGCTTTTATTTGTTATTTTCTGAAAACGACTTGAATTGCTTATTTTCTTTTTAATAGCAATAACACTTGTTCTTTAGAGAGTACTTAGGAAACATAGATTTAAAAATAAAAAGAAGAATATAAAAATCACCCATTACCCCACCGCTAGTCATGTTTTGGTATATATCATTTTAGATATTTAGTTACACTGTCCATACTTTTCCAAGGGTCATCATCTAATATATGATTAATATTCCTTTATGACATTATTTTTAATAACAAACTATAATTCCATTAACCCATCTTCTGTGGTTGATCACTTATATTGCTCCCAATTCTTCACGATTATTAGCAAGGCAAAAAGAACATCTTATGGGACCATGGCTTTGCACACATACCTAGTTATTCCCATAAGATTAATTCCAAAATATCATATTGCTGGATCAAAAGGTATACATCTTAAGGCTCTTTATAAACTATTACTAATTATAGAAGTAACACATGAACATCATTTCTCAAAAAGCAAACACCTATATTTTTTCTTCCTCCATGCCACCCTGCACTTTAGATGTAACCACTGTTAGCAACTTCTTATTCGTCCAGAAATTACAAAAATTGAAGCATGCTAAATCTTAGCAATACCCCTTGGAGAGTATTCACTATCAGGACATTATATCTCTACCTCAATCCTTTTGATAATTTTACTAGATTTAGTGGCCTGGATATATCATGGCTCATAAAAACAGTCCACAATTGATAGACAGTAGGTTTCATTCAATTTTTGCTATTAAAAACAATGATATAACATTCTTCTACGTGTATTTTGCAAATTTGTGTAAATGTTTCAGAATAAAAGGAATTTGCTAGGTAAATGGATAGATGCCTTTTAATTTTGCTAGATGTCTCCATATTGCCATCTAAATAGTTGTGTTTATTTACATTTTTATTATCCTCAGCAACACTGAGTATTATGCAACATTTTAATCCTTGTCACTCTGCAAGCTAAGAAACTGTATTATTTTTGTTGTTATTGTCATTTGTATGTTTTAAATTATAAGTGAGATCTATCACTCAATCTGAAACTCAAATTCAAAAATCCTGTTGAATCATCATATGAATTCTGAAGCCTGGTGAAATTCTTGTTCCTGCTATTCTTCAGCTAATTTGTTAGCTAAAAACTTGTTTTGTAATTTATATTATTCACTTTACATACATATTATATTGCTTTTGAAGATGATAATTTAAAACAATAACAAGAGCTGTTTTCTTTTAGTACTGTTGAAAATGACTAACTGTTTACATGTCTGGGATACTTTGCTGGGAAATTATTGAACAGAAGCATCCCCACCTTTCCTAAAGCAGAGTCACTCAGCACCACACAATGGCCATTTGTATATGCCAAGAATTCAAAGTAACTTTGAAAGTGACATGTCACAAACAATCTGCCCAGTGGCAGATATTATATATGGCTAGTTGATTATGAGGAAAATTTATTAAAATATAAGGTCGTACTCAAATACTCCAAACTGTATTGAAAAAGAAAAAAGGAATATACCCAAGAATACTAACAGCGATTATCCTGGGATAATAGGATTACAGATTACTAAATTATAAGATCTTGCCATGGGAATGCTAAAAAAATCAACATTAAGTGCTTTGTGCATGAACCTACTATGTATACCTTTTGAAAAACATACTAGAAGAAATTTTGAAATTTACGGGAATAATAATTCACTCAGTGAGTACATTTTGAATACTTCCTGTGTAGCTATGATTGTGCTATAAGCCAGAAGTATATGGCATAGCACTGGCTTTATAAGAGCTCACAATCTTAGATATACGAAACATGATGAGCAATGTCAAAAGAGAGAAGATGATAAAATGCTTATTTAAATGCATCAACTACGCCCTTGGGGAAATCTAAGTTTCAGTTTTCTATTGAAATGATGGTGTTTAATTACAGTAGATCAGAGGTTCCCAAACTATTTGATTTCAGGACCCCTTTATACCCTTCAAAAATACTGAGGACCAGTCGGGCGCGGTGGCTCACACCTGTAATCCCAGCACTTTGGGAGGCCGAGGCCGGCGGATCGTGACGTCAGGAGATAGAGACCATCCTGGCTACGGTGAAACCCCAACTCTACTAAAAAAAAAAAAAAAAAAAAAAAATACAAAAAATTAGCCAGGCGTGGTGGCGGGCGCCTGTAGTCCCAGCTACTTGGGAGGCTGAGGCAGGAGAATGGCGTCAATCCGGAAGGCGGAGCTTGCAGTGAGCCGAGATCGCGCCACTGCACTCCAGCCTGGGTGACAGAGGGAGACTCCATCTCAAAAAAAAAAAAAAAATTATTGAAGACAAAAAAGAGCTTTTGCTTATGTGGGTTATATCAGTCTTTACTATATTGGTAAATAATATTGATAAACTGAAAAAATATTTATTAATTCAGGAATAACACTAATAAACCCATTGCATATTAACATAAAAACACATTTTATAAAAAATAGCTCTTGGAAATGAAAAGAATTCTGAAACTTCCAAAGCAGACAAAAGATGTAGCTTAATTGTTTGGAGTTAATTTATGGCATGAAGTGGGATTTACCAGAAATAAAGAAACAAAGGAAGAATAAGGATAAAAGGAACTGAATTACAATGCTATTGGTTTTTATTTTCTCTAAACAGAAATCCATTTTGCTGTCTTAAGGTGACCAAATTTCTTGTATGCCTGGACAGTTCTTGTCTATGCCTGTTGTTCTGGCATGACTACTTAGTTACAAACAGTGCCTGTCTTCACAAAGAGTCTCAAAGTGGACAATAAATTATCTTATCATACTACTTATCCAAAACATTGCATAATCATTTCTTTATGCATCACCTATGCATGTTTTTATTTCATTCAACAAACATCTATTGAGCACCTACTGGGTACCAGATTCTATGCTATCAGTCAGGAATACGAAGTAGAATAAGCCTTGCAAGATGCTTACTATCTGACAACTCCTGGTCCATAGACAGATCAATTGATTTTTATCATGCATTACCTGATTCAAGTCTCTTTTAACAAACATGATTATTATTATTATTATTTCCAAAAACATGGAATTACAATAGTAGAAGATAAAAGTTGTTCCTGAGGGGAGGAGCCAAGATGGCCGAATAGGAACAGCTCCGGTCTACAGCTCCCAGCGTGAGCGACGCAGAAGACGGGTGATTTCTGCATTTCCATCTGAGGTACCGGGTTCATCTCACTAGGGAGTGCCAGACAGTGGGCGCAGGCCAGTGTGTGCGCGCACCGTGCGCGAGCCGAAGCAGGGCGAGGCATTGCCTCACCTGGGAAGCGCAAGGGGTCAGGGAGTTCCCTTTCCGAGTCAAAGAAAGGGGTGACGAACGCACCTGGAAAATCGGGTCACTCCCACCCGAATATTGTGCTTTTCAGACCGGCTTAAAAAACGGCGCACCACGAGACTATATCCCACACCTGGCTGAGAGGGTCCTACGCCCACGGAATCTCGCTGATTGCTAGCACAGCAGTCTGAGATTAAACTGCAAGGCGGCAACGAGGCTGGGGGAGGGGCGCCCGCCATTGCCCAGGCTTGCTTAGGTAAACAAAGCAGCCGGGAAGCTCGAACTGGGTGGAGCCCACCACAGCTCAAGGAGGCCTGCCTGCCTCTGTAGGCTCCACCTCTAGGGGCAGGGCACAGACAAACAAAAAGACAGCAGTAACCTCTGCAGACTTAAGTGTCCCTGTCTGACAGCTTTGAAGAGAGCAGTGGTTCTCCCAGCACGCAGCTGGAGATCTGAGAACGGGCAGACTGCCTCCTCAAGTGGGTCCCTGACCCCTGACCCCCGAGCAGCCTAACTGGGAGGCACCCCCCAGCAGGGGCACACTGACACCTCACACGGCAGGGTATTCCAACAGACCTGCAGCTGAGGGTCCTGTCTGTTAGAAGGAAAACTAACAACCAGAAAGGACATCTACACCGAAAACCCATCTGTACATCACCATCATCAAAGACCAAAAGTAGATAAAACCACAAAGATGGGGAAAAAACAGAACAGAAAAACTGGAAACTCTAAAATGCAGAGCGCCTCTCCTCCTCCAAAGGAACGCAGTTCCTCACCAGCAACGGAACAAAGCTGGATGGAGAATGATTTTGAGGAGCTGAGAGAAGAAGGCTTCAGACGATCAAATTACTCTGAGCTACGGGAGGACATTCAAACCAAAGGCAAAGAAGTTGAAAACTTTGAAAAAAATTTAGAAGAATGTATAACTAGAATAACCAATACAGAGAAGTGCTTAAAGGAGCTGATGGAGCTGAAAGCCAAGGCTCGAGAACTACGTGAAGAATGCAGAAGCCTCAGGAGCCGATGCGATCAACTGGAAGAAAGGGTATCAGCGATGGAAGATGAAATGAATGAAATGAAGCGAGAAGGGAAGTTTAGAGAAAAAAGAATAAAAAGAAATGAGCAAAGCCTCCAAGAAATATGGGACTATGTGAAAAGACCAAATCTACGTCTGATTGGTGTACCTGAAAGTGATGTGGAGAATGGAACCAAGTTGGAAAACACTCTGCAGGATATTATCCAGGAGAACTTCCCCAATCTAGCAAGGCAGGCCAACGTTCAGATTCAGGAAATACAGAGAACGCCACAAAGATACTCCTCGAGAAGAGCAACTCCCAGACACATAATTGTCAGATTCACCAAAGTTGAAATGAAGGAAAAAATGTTAAGGGCAGCCAGAGAGAAAGGTCGGGTTACCCTCAAAGGAAAGCCCATCAGACTAACAGCGGATCTCTCGGCAGAAACCATACAAGCCAGAAGAGAGTGGGGGCCAATATTCAACATTCTTAAAGGAAAGAATTTTCAACCCAGAATTTCATATCCAGCCAAACAAAGCTTCATAAGTGAAGGAGAAATAAAATACTTTATAGACAAGCAAATGCTGAGAGATTTTGTCACCACCAGGCCTGCCCTAAAAGAGCTCCTGAAGGAAGCGCTAAACATGGAAAGGAACAACCGGTACCAGCCGCTGCAAAATCATGCCAAAATGTAAAGACCATCGAGACTAGGAAGAAACTGCATCAACTAACGAGCAAAAGCACCAGCTAACATCATAATGACAGGATCAAATTCACACATAACAATATTAACTTTAAATGTAAATGGACTAAATTCTGCAATTAAAAGACACAGACTGGCAAGTTGGATAAAGAGTCAAGACCATCAGTGTGCTGTATTCAGGAAACCCATCTCACATGCAGAGACACACATAGGCTCAAAATAAAAGGATGGAGGAAGATCTACCAAGCCAATGGAAAACAAAAAAAGGCAGGGGTTGCAATCCTAGTCTCTGATAAAACGGACTTTAAACCAACAAAGATCAAAAGAGACAAAGAAGGCCATTACATAATGGTAAAGGGATCAATTCAACAAGAGGAGCTAACTATCCTAAATATTTATGCACCGAATACAGGAGCACCCAGATTCATAAAGCAAGTCCTGAGTGACCTACAAAGAGACTTAGACTCCCACACATTAATAATGGGAGACTTTAACACCCCACTGTCAACATTAGACAGATCAACGAGACAGAAAGTCAACAAGGATACCCAGGAATTGAACTCAGCTCTGCACCAAGCGGACCTAATAGACATCTACAGAACTCTCCACCCCAAATCAACAGAATATACATTTTTTTCAACACCACACCACACCTATTCCAAAATTGACCACATAGTTGGAAGTAAAGCTCTCCTCAGCAAATGTAAAAGAACAGAAATTATAACAAACTATCTCTCAGACCACAGTGCAATCAAACTAGAACTCAGGATTAAGAATCTCACTCAAAGCCGCTCAACTACATGGAAACTGAACAACCTGCTCCTGAATGACTACTGGGTACATAACGAAATGAAGGCAGAAATAAAGATGTTCTTTGAAACCAACGAGAACAAAGACACCACATACCAGAATCTCTGGGACGCATTCAAAGCAGTGTGTAGAGGGAAATTTATAGCACTAAATGCCCACAAGAGAAAGCAGGAAAGATCCAAAATTGACACCCTAACATCACAATTAAAAGAACTAGAAAAGCAAGAGCAAACACATTCAAAAGCTAGCAGAAGGCAAGAAATAACTAAAATCAGAGCAGAACTGAAGGAAATAGAGACACAAAAAACCCTTCAAAAAATCAATGAATCCAGGAGCTGGTTTTTTGAAAGGATCAACAAAATTGATAGACCGCTAGCAAGACTAATAAAGAAAAAAAGAGAGAAGAATCAAATAGACACAATAAAAAATGATAAAGGGGATATCACCACCAATCCCACAGAAATACAAACTACCATCAGAGAATACTACAAACACCTCTACGCAAATAAACTAGAAAATCTAGAAGAAATGGATACATTCCTCGACACATACACTCTCCCAAGACTAAACCAGGAAGAAGTTGAATCTCTGAATAGACCAATAACAGGATCTGAAATTGTGGCAATAATCAATAGTTTACCAACCAAAAAGAGTCCAGGACCAGATGGATTCACAGCTGAATTCTACCAGAGGTACAAGGAGGAGCTGGTACCATTCCTTCTGAAACTATTCCAATCAATAGAAAAAGAAGGAATCCTCCCTAACTCATTTTATGAGGCCAGCATCATTCTGATACCAAAGCCGGGCAGAGACACAACCAAAAAAGAGAATTTTAGACCAATATCCTTGATGAACATTGATGCAAAAATCCTCAATAAAATACTGGCAAATCAAATCCAGCAGCACATCAAAAAGCTTATCCACCATGATCAAGTGGGCTTCATCCCTGGGATGCAAGGCTGGTTCAATATATGCAAATCAATAAATGTAATCCAGCATATAAACAGAGCCAAAGACAAAAACCACATGATTATCTCAATAGATGCAGAAAAAGCCTTTGACAAAATTCAACAACCCTTCATGCTAAAAACTCTCAATAAATTAGGTATTGATGGGATGTATTTCAAAATAATAAGAGCTATCTATGACAAACCCACAGCCAATATCATACTGAATGGGCAAAAACTGGAAGCATTCCCTTTGAAAACTGGCACAAGACAGGGATGCCCTCTCTCACCGCTCCTATTCAACATAGTGTTGGAAGTTCTGGCCAGGGCAATCAGGCAGGAGAAGGAAATAAAGGGTATTCAATTAGGAAAAGAGGAAGTCAAATTGTCCCTGTTTGCAGATGACATGATTGTTTATCTAGAAAACCCCATCGTCTCAGCCCAAAATCTCCTTAAGCTGATAAGCAACTTCAGCAAAGTCTCAGGAGACAAAATCAATGTACAAAAATCACAAGCATTCTTATACACCAACAACAGACAAACAGAGAGCCAAATCATGAGTGAACTCCCATTCACAATTGCTTCAAAGAGAATAAAATACCTAGGAATCCAACTTACAAGGGATGTGAAGGACCTCTTCAAGGAGAACTACAAACCACTGCTCAAGGAAATAAAAGAGGACACAAACAAATGGAAGAACATTCCATGCTCATGGGTAGGAAGAATCAATATCGTGAAAATGGCCATACTGCCCAAGGTAATTTACAGATTCAATGCCATCCCCATCAAGCTACCAATGACTTTCTTCACAGAATTGGAAAAAACTACTTTAAAGTTCATATGGAACCAAAAAAGAGCCCGCATCGCCAAGTCAATCCTAAGCCAAAAGAACAAAGCTGGAGGCATCACACTACCTGACTTCAAACTATACTACAAGGCTACAGTAACCAAAACAGCATGGTACTGGTACCAAAACAGAGATATAGATCAATGGAACAGAACAGAGCCCTCAGAAATAATGCCGCATATCTACAACTATCTGATCTTTGACAAACCTGAGAAAAACAAGCAATGGGGAAAGGATTCCCTATTTAATAAATGGTGCTGGGAAAACTGGCTAGCCATATGTAGAAAGCTGAAACTGGATCCCTTCCTTACACCTTATACAAAAATCAATTCAAGATGGATTAAAGATTTAAACGTTAGACCTAAAACCATAAAAACCCTAGAAGAAAACCTAGGCATTACCATTCAGGACATAGGCGTAGGCAAGGACTTCATGTCCAAAACACCAAAAGCAATGGTAACAAAAGCCAAAATTGACAAATGGGATCTAATTAAACTAAAGAGCTTCTGCACAGCAAAAGAAACTACCATCAGAGTGAACAGGCAACCTACAACATGGGAGAAAATTTTCGCAACCTACTCATCTGACAAAGGGCTAATATCCAGAATCTACAATGAACTCAAACAAATTTACAAGAAAAAAACAAACAACCCCATCAAAAAGTGGGCGAAGGACATGAACAGACACTTCTCAAAAGAAGACATTTATGCAGCCAAAAAACACATGAAAAAATGCTCATCATCACTGGCCATCAGAGAAATGCAAATCAAAACCACTATGAGATATCATCTCACACCAGTTAGAATGGCAATCACTAAAAAGTCAGGAAACAACAGGTGCTGGAGAGGATGTGGAGAAATAGGAACACTTTTACACTGTTGGTGGGACTGTAAACTAGTTCAACCATTGTGGAAGTCAGTGTGGTGATTCCTCAGGGATCTAGAACTAGAAATACCATTTGACCCAGCCATCCCATTACTGGGTATATACCCAAATGACTATAAATCATGCTGCTATAAAGACACATGCACACGTATGTTTATTGCGGCATTATTCACAATAGCAAAGACTTGGAACCAACCCAAATGTCCAACAATGATAGACTGGATTAAGAAAATGTGGCACATATACACCATGGAATATTATGCAGCCATAAAAAATGATGAGTTCATGTCCTTTGTAGGGACATGGATGAAATTGGAAACCATCATTCTCAGTAAACTATCGCAAGAACAAAAAACCAAACACCGCATATTCTCACTCATAGGTGGGAATTGAACAATGAGATCACATGGACACAGGAAGGGGAATATCACACTCTGGGGACTGTGGTGGGGTCGGGGGATGGGGGAGGGATAGCATTGGGAGATATACCTAATGCTAGATGACGAGTTAGTGGGTGCAGCGCACCAGCATGTCACATGTATACATATGTAACTAACCTGCACAATGTGCACATGTACCCTAAAACTTAAAGTATAATAATAAAATAAAAAAAAAAAGAATAAAGCTATAATAGGAACCACAAAAAAAAAAAAAAAAAAAAAGTTGTTCCTACCTTCAAGGAGTTTACAAGCTTATAGTATAATGGGAAAGCAGACAATTACATAAAAATTACTAGAAACATGATAAGTGAAAAAGGTAGTAACTTATAAACAGCATGGAAGAGGTGATGGCAGAATTCTTTTTTGGGAGAATAGTACTGCACTTGTATTTGCAAGTACTCTTTAAAGGGCTTCTAGACTGGCTTTAAAGGAAAAAGTTTAAACAGAGGAGCTCATCTGCTTTGTGGTTTAGGGTTATCTGTATTGGGTTCATGGGTTTATTCTCTAAATATATTCAAGAAATACCACAGTTCTTGAGAATCAGCTTCTATAGAATGATGAAGAATGCAGAAAAAAAAGATTTGCCCTCAAGGAGCTAATAGTTTTGTTCAAGGGTTTGAACCATATGGTCCATTGATATCTAAAGGATCTTTACATTTGTTTATCGTTTCATTCATCCTTTTATTCCATTTATTCAAGTGGATGACCATATATTCCATAAAGTGTTTCATAAGAAATTTTGGAAAGCAATAATGTCTGATGCTGAATTGTTATTGTTTCTTTTTTTTTTTTTCCATTTGAATTACCTCAGATTATCCTCAGGTCTTCAAGAAATGTGTCAACCACTGTCCAGAGCTGGTTCTGGAGCTGCAGCTGGACCAAAAGGTGACATACAGTAACAAAGATTCAGGAGCATTGACAGTAAACACTCATTTTCAGGACAGGACCACATTTCCTTTAGTATTAGCATACTAAATAAAAGAATGATAAATAAAAAGCCAGAAAACCCAAGGACACTTATTATATTTTGATGGGAGAAATATATGATGATATGTAAGTCATCACTGGCACATTAACCCAGTCCACATGTTTCTTCAGAGAGGTCCTAACTTTGATAAATCCTTAGAAGAATTCATGACTGCCATCCCACCACACAAAAAAGTCAAGAACCATTGGTAAAGAATGAGAGAAATGTAACTAATTATAACACAGAGCAAATGCTATAATAAAAGAATGCACAAAGTTCCAGCAGTAAGCTCAACAAGACACTAACAGGAATGGGTGTGCATTTCTTAAGGCTTAATTTACTTACACATACCTTTTAGTATACACAATACTGCACACTGGCTCAAAGTGTGAGTTTTGAGATCAGGCAGATCTGCATTCACATTTGATTCTCCCACTGTTTAGCTATGTTACTGTGGGTGAATTACTTTGCATTACTAACCACAGTTCTCTTAGCTATAGAATGGGGAAATAACAGTCCTAACTGTGGGGCCCTAACTATGAGGATTAAATTATAAAGAACCTGGGGAAATACCTGTGTATTATAACTGCTTGATAAATATGAACTAGGAACACAACACACACACACACACACACACACACACACACACACGGAACAAAGAGTAAATAGTTTCTGATGAACTGTCTTTGAGCTTCTCCCATATATTATCAGAAAATAATTCCTTGAAATTTCTTAAATGCTAGCATATAAAAGTGTGTGTTCTAAAATACATTTCCGTAATAATTATATTATTTTAGTGGTCAAAAATAATGATGTTGCACTTTAAGCAGGTGAGTTGAGAGAAGTGTGAGGAGTTGGGGTGGAAGACTCATACAAAGGCAGACAGTTCCAATAATACCTAGAAAATGCAGTCTTAGGTTTTTTTCACAAATAAAAATAAATAAGTAATTAGAAGGTAAAACCTAATTCTTATTCCTTTCCCAGGTCCCCCCTTTAATCCACTCAGTCTCATTAGCCTGCCTTTGCAAATGGAGATGAAATAATTTTGCATTGCAAAATAATCACTGCCACCCCAAAGGTGAGATCTTCCCATCTTCTTCACTTTCCATGTGTGACATTCTTTAAATCAGACCTTTTTATCTTTCTACTTTGCTGCGTTCTAAATTTAGTTAGGGACCCATATTAACTCATTTTTTTTTGTAAATTTCATGTTTCAGAATATTGCACGTAAGAAAAAAAATGCCTAAAATGTGATTCTTGTAAAGGAAATGATGAGCCCCTCTGACCGTATGTCAGAAAAAGAAAGAAAGAAAATAATCAGCCACCACATTTTTTTCCCAAATCTATAACTCTTTCTCATTTTACTGCAATACACTGAGAAAAAATAATCATCAGTGACTGGATCTGGGAAGCAATTTATTATTGGACATTAGTGGAAAACTCTCTTTCAGTTCTATACAGCACAGACTCCTTCACTGCTTCAAGGGGAGAAGAGGAGAAAGAAGGGCACTTTCTGGTGAGCCATATTTATTTAGTGTACTGTCATCCCTTGGTATCCATGGGGGAGTTGTTCCAGGACTTCTCAAGAATACCAAAATCTACAGATACTCAAATCCCTTACATAAAATGGTGTAGTTTTTGCATATAACATACGCATGGTCATTCTCCTGTATATCCTAAACCATCTCTTAATTCCTTATAATACCTAATACAATGTAAGCACTATGTAAGTGGCTGTCATATCGTATTGTCTAGGGAATGATGCAAAGGGAAAAAAGTCTGTACCTGTTCAGTACAGATGTAACCATCCTTTTTCTCCCCATGTATTTTCAATCTGAGGTTGGTTGAATTCATGGATGGGTAACCCACAGACAGGGAGAGCTGGATATATTTGCATTTCATGCTTTTTTTTCCCACCACAATTAATTTCTCTCAACTTTGCAATATATGTCAGAAATCAGAAAACAAATCCTTCTTCCTAGTCAATATTTAGGACATGAATATTTACCAAGTGGCTCATCACAGGATCATAGACAAAAAGGGAAACAGACGCAGACAAACAGTGCTGGGCTAGGAGGGACATTAGAAACAATTTAATTCAACTTTCTCCATCATAATAGCATTCATAGGGTTTTGTTTTGCTGTTGCTGGTTTGTTTGCATTTTACTAAGCACTTTACATGGCTTGTCTCTTTAAATATTCACATCCCCACTGACCAACACACTCCTCCCCCGCCTCCCCCCGACACACACACACCACATCCATTAGACTTATTTTATAGAAAATTGAGGTTTAGAGGGATTGAGTGACTTTCCGAGAGTCAAAGAACTAGTAATTGGTGCCTTTAGGCTTTGAACCCAGGACTGAGCAACTCCAGAGCCTGTCCTTGTATAAGAACAAGCATGTCGAGGACAGCCTTTAAACGCTCATCTATAGACAAAAGAGAAGTTAGTGAGCTCTTGTTCTCTTATATTCAAGACTCACTTCTCACTTTCCATATTTGAAAATGGAGGCCCAGAAACTCCAATTAATGAACCAAGACCACAAAAGTACCCAGTGGCATGGCCAGGATGGAACTCAGGAATTCCTGTTCCCAGTTGGTTCCTCTTGAACCACACACTTGATCCTTGACATTTACATTAAATACACTTTTCCTATTTTTAAAGGGATGCACTGTTTTGAGAGGCCACTTGCTGCTGCATCTTGCCTGCTTCCCTGATGGGTTGACTTCATTTCCCTTTCTCTTCTTTTACCCACCATTCACATGTTGATGACCCCTGGGGCTCCACATCTTTAGCCTCTTTGTTCCCCACTCATTCACTAGTCAGTCCCATTCCCATGAGTTTAGTTATCACTGACAGATCATCTCCACACTTCTGTCTTTGACCTGAACTATTCCCTGACCTCCAGACCCTAGAAGGGGTATGCAACCTCCCCTTCTGAATGTTGCAGAAGTGCCTCGATTGACTGTGTCTGATATCAAATGCATCATCCCTCCCTGTGCATCCTGCCTTCCTCCCCCATCTCATTTATTCGTTCTACCTGATACTCATGACCCACCAGGACACAAGTCCACGAGTGCTATTGAATTTTACTTCTAAAATGTCTTCTTATTCTGCCTCTTTCCACTGCTTTTGCTATAATTTAAGACCTTATCATCTGGCATAAACAGATGTTGGCAGTAGATTTCCTGCTACATTTCCAATCTATCTTCCACTCGGCCTCCAGAGTGATATTTCTGAACACAAACCAATCACATGACTTCCTTGCTTAAATCTATGCATTGATGCTCTATCACTTACTGGGAGGGGGAAAAAAAGCACCACCATGTTCAGGTTCAGTGTTATAGGCCACAAGGACTTCTGTGACCTGATGTCTCATGAACACTCTAGTCTCATTCTCTACTCCTCGTATTTTCATTATACAAATCCAAAACTACATGAGGTTCTCCAGACATGCCAAGCTATTTTATATTTTATGCTTATTGCCTTAGCTGGGCCCTCTTACAGAAATACCTCCCCCACCTACCTCTTCCTGGCATCCTGAAGAATTCCTAATCAGCTTTTGAAACAGACCTCACACGTCATCTCTTCCATCCACACATCCTCCTCTGGGTGGATTCCATTCCGAATGTGGCCATTGTTTCTTGTGTGTCTCTGGTCCTTGGACACTCGTTGCTGCATTTCCCACAGTGTATGGTAATTATTTGTATGTTTGTCTTATGATACAGACAATGAATACTTTCAGGTGTAAAACACATACATACCTTCTAGGGTTAAATCTACTCAGATGGTACTAGCACTCACTCAGATATTCCACATACCCTCAGATTTTAAACATGCTTGTTCACATGTTTGACAGAGGTATTGAGATGTAACACAGGTTCACTTATATTCTAAGCACATCATTCAAATGTTACATGTGCTCCTGTAGATGGCACAATACTTGTTTGGGTGATACATTTGTCCCTTAAATGTTAACATGTTCACTTAGATCTGACTTAGATGTTAATCAGTTCACTTGGGTGCTACATGCAGGTGTTACACATACTTAGGACAGTGGTTCTCAAAATGCACTTTCCAGACCACCAGGCGCAGCATCACCTGGAAGCTCATTAGAAATGCAAATTCTAACCTCACCCTTAATCTGCTGAATCAGAAACTCTGGGGTGAGGTCCCAGCAATCTGTGCAAGTTGTGCAGATGATTCTGGCCATGCTCAAGTTTGAGATCCACTGACTTAGATGTCACACACCCTCATTCAGCTGTTCTCCCTGCCTGTTCAGATGATGTCCTTATTCATGTGGGTGATACACATGTTCACTAAAATGTTACACATGTCTGCAGCTTTGATCTCCTGGGCTCAAGCAATCCCTCCCACTTTAGACTCCCTTGTAGCTGGGACTACAGGTGTGGGCCACCACATCTGGCTAAGTTTTAAATTTTTTTGTAGAGATGGGGTCTCACTATGTTACCCAGAGTGCTTTCAAACTCCTGGGCTCAAGCAATCCTTCCACGTCAGCCTCTCAAGGTGCTGGGATTACAGGTGTGAACCACTGTGCCTGGCCAGCTTTTCTAAAAACCATATTCACTTAGATGGCAAAGAGCTCCAACATTACACACTGATATTTATATAGCACATGTGCTTATTCAGATGTTATTCCTGAGATATTGCAAATCCTCATTAGACAGCACACATGTACATGAAAATAATGCAAATGTTCACTGTGTTGTTAACAACGCTCATTTAAATGTTACATATGTTAAACTATTCACTTTGATCTTTGATATTCATGTGCTTATTTAACTATTACCTACCCTTTTGCAGATGATACACATGTTCACTCAGGTCTTATGCATGTTTATACATATGCTTCACAAACATCTTCTGATGTTATATATGCCTATTCAGATCACTCTTGCTCATGTAGACACCGATGGATCATTGCATTATATGTGCACTCACTCAGATATTGTATCGTGTACCAGGTGTGCATTGCTAACCAATCCATGCTAGAGATGATCAAGGAGTAGCTACTGTTCTGGCCACTTCCCACTGTGATTATGTTATTCTTCTTCTGAAAGGTATACTTGGTCCTCTATGGCCCCCAGGCCCTTTCCTGATGCTGCTGGCATTCCACTGCTTTTTAAGAAGAATGTGCTGGCCCACCCATTGCCTCATCACTTTTTGTGATCTTCAGGGTAGCCCAAGCACACCACTGTTTACACAGAATTTATACCTGTTTGCCACACTCAAATACCCTCATCTACTTGAAGAAAATTGTTCCAGCAATTGTAAGGCTTTTACTGGATTTGAATGTGCTTATAACCACATCTTCTGTCATTTTTGGCAACCCACAGTCATGTAACTACAAGGCATTCCATGTTCATTCATTTCAGGGAAGCTTTTGATTGGTTCTACTTCATGATGTTACAATTGCTTTAACCACAATCAATAAGAAAGGCTTGGACAGCAACACTGGGTCAACATTTAAAGCAAAGAGTATTGATTGAGAACTTATTATGAATTCAGCCTCCTTCAGAGGCCCAGAAATACTTCTCTGTGTGTCCCAAGTGTTTCCTCCTCCAATATGCAGAGAAAGAGCTTGGTGTTTGGAGTCAGACTGGTGGTAATTTGAATCTCGGTTCCACCACTTACTCTGTGACCTTGAGAAAACCATTTAATATTTCAGAAACATGGTTTCTTCATCGTATAAAGGGGATAGTAATGCCTACCCTGAAGCTTTTATGTGAAAGTTTTATGTCTGGCACATAATATGTGATCAAGGAAGTTTAGCTTTTAAAAAAGGATTATGTTATAAGCTAAACAAAGGCAAAAATTATGCTTTCTCACATCGAAACTACCATGATACATGCAGGTAAGGTTTGGACTGGCAGCCAAGCTCCATTTATACAGGCAAACAAGCCCATCACAGTCTCAAGAAAGATCCAGACCAGGAACCTCCAAGGAGTAGTAAGGACAATGCTCAAAAGTCCAGCAGTCCAACAAACAATCAGCTACTATAATTCTACCCACAGCTGTCAGAAAACTCCTCAGCAGAAGCATAGGAAGCAGTGGGGAATGAATAGAAGTCCCAGTTATCTCAGATGTTATTCAAATAAAATCTTGGAATAGGGATTCAGTCTAAAGTACCATCCTATTGACTGAGGCACATGAGGATAGAAGAAGTGAGACTATTGAGCTTGGAAAACATGGTACTAATGGACCATTCCAGGACAGACAATTTGAAGATCTGAGAAAGGGATAGACAACTATATAAACACTGACTACAGTCACTATTCAGACACCTTACACTGGGTCAGATTAGCTGCAAGGCCATCGACAACACAGCCTGGAGCTTGTGTTCAGCACTGAGGCTTGATGCTACCAGGCACTAGGGAAGAGGATGGGGGTCCTTGAAACTTCCTGCCTAATATCAGATTGTTTCTAGAATGGAGATAGACTGAAGCCCCATGGGAGGTCACTAGTGAGCTGAAAAAAGTGGAAGCAAGAAAATGGGATTGTGGGTTGGTGACACAGTGGCTGCTAAAGTAGTTTTCCCATGTTTGCCACATTTAACTCACAATTTGGTGCTTATCAACCAAAAGGATCACCTGGCTGTATGCATTCATTCTTTAAATGAGGCAACCTATGTGCAGTGTTTAGAACAGTGCCTGACATAGACTAACGACCATATAAGCATTTTCTAATATGATGGTATTTATGAATTAATTCAACAACTATATAATGTATAGCTGCATGTTTTAGTTTTGAGGGATATAGGAAAATAAAACAGTCCTAAGCTCAAGGGATCAATAATCTATTAATCTAATCTGATTTTTATAAACATAAAAATATAAAGGAAAGAATGCCTAATTATGCATGGGTTTGGTGAGGTGGGTGTGCTCCAGAGAGCTTCTCTGGCGTGTTTGAGTGCATTCTGCATTCCTGTGTATTCAGCAAGACAGAGAAAGTAGGATGTTGCAAAAGAACACTAGCAACTGCAAAGGCACAGGAGGGTAATACAATCAGGGAAATGAAAGGAGCCAAAGATACTATACAGAGAATAGAAAAAATGCGAGCTATAGAGGAAGGTTAGAACCAGATAGCAAAGGCCTTAAGTGTCTTGATAGGAGATTAGACATAAGCCCATGGGTAATAGGGAGCCACTGAAGGTCTTTAAGAAAGAGAATGGCTTGAGTTGATTTGTCTTTTAGAAATATCACTCTGGCTACCATATGAAGAATATCCGGAGAGTGGCAAGGCAGGAAGAAGGGAGCTTACTAGAATATTCTGGCTGCAATTCAGATGGATGATGATGATGCCCTGGATAAAGGAGGAGCAGGAGAGCTGCAGATGGGAGGTAAGAGGTAAAAATTATGGGATTTGATGATCACATGAACAAGGGGTTGGGAGAGAGAACATGTATCCTATCACACTTTCAGAAAAACTGCAAGTTACAAATCAAATGTTGCATTGGAGCTGGAAACAATGGTCTGCTCCTTTGGTGAGTAATCCAGGAATGCTGGCAATGATTCACAGATTCCTGGTCATCATGCATTCTGGGCCTTGACTACTTCTGGGATGATAAAGCCCCAAGGCTGATCTAGTGAAAAGAGGTAGTCACAATCTCCATTTCATTTAAGCAAAGAAGATGGAAGTGGCTGCTATGTAGTAGTGATGCACTTACATGTCAGTTGAGTAGATGGATGAAAATTTTAAAGTTAAAGTAGAAGAACATAGGGTTGAATGCAAAATTGGTCCATGGTTGTGGCATGTTTGCTAGATGCATCAAAACAGACAAGGAACTAATTACATGACTTCTGAATAGGCAGAAGGCTGACATTCTGAAGTTTCTAAGCTCTGTTATAGCTCCCATGACCAAAATATTCAGTTAAAAATGTCAGGGCTACATATTAAGTGGGCACTCAATTGAGTGAATAAATTAATGAATGAATTTTTCTGAAATATTAAATCTAGCTTTCAAGATTCCCCAGTGATTACTTTATCGTTCATATTTTCTACATGGGCTTGGTGGCAGCCTATTAATAACTGAGAGTGTTGATTAATGGATTAGTATTAACTTGGAGGGAAGTTTCAGCATTCCCAGGTTTCTGTATTTGGCTCAATCCTGTTCAAGCTTTTAGTCTATAATTTAGATGAAAGTGCTATTGTTATTCTTATCAAATTTGAAAATGACTCAAAGCTGGTGACTTGCCTCTCTCCTTCCTTCCTTAGAAAGTAGTGAGAGTATGTCTAAAGCTCAAGCTGCCATAATAAAAGACCATAGGCTCGGTAGCAGTAGCTTAAACAACATTTATTTCTCTGGAAGCTGGAAAGTCCTAGACCACAGTGCTATTAGATTTGGTGTCTGGTGAGGGCCCTCTTCCTGGTTTGCAGATGGTCATTTTCTCACTGTGTCTTCACAAAGAAGAGAGGAAGAGTAAGCTCCAGTCTTTTCCTCTTCTTATAAGGACACTAATCCCATCATGGGGACCCTCGCCTCGTGACCTCATCTAACCGTAATTCCCTTTCAAAGATCCCACCTCCTAATACCATCACAGCGAGAATCAGGGTTCCAATAGATGGATTTTGAGGGGACACAAACAATTAGTCCGTAATAAGATGGAAGTCAAGGAAGATTTCCCTGAAGAGGTGAGCCCTGAGCCGAGATCTGGAGGATAAGCATGGACATGGGAATTCACTTCAGAGACAGGACGCAGGGTGCAATGTTCCTGCAGCACGAGGGAGTAAGGGCCCCTGGAAATGCTGAAAGGCCAGTGTGCATGGGGCACAGAGAGGTAGGATAAGGCTCAAGAGGTAGGCAAGGCTGGACTGGGCACCCATTTTATTTAATAAGGATTTAAACTATGGTGATACCCTTATTCACCAAATTTATGTTGAGAAATTACTATGTCAAATACCAGTTAGGCACTAAAAATATACTAGGAGTGATAAACTGGACAGATATGACTCCCTCCTGGTCCTGATGAAACTTAGAGTCAAGAAGAGCAGAGAGATAGTTAAATAAACAACAACAACAATAAATCACAAAATTAATAGGTTCTGAAATAGGGAAGTAGGGACATATAACAATTTGGAGGACGGGGATCAGCAGAGGCTTCCTAAAGAAAGTGACATTTAAAATGACACCTGAAAGAGAAGTAGACTTTAGCAAGACAAAGATAGAAACACAATGTGTTCTACTTTGAAGGAACAGGTGTACGGGCCCAGAGGTGAGAGAGAGCATGTTGTGCTGGAGGAAGATGAAGTTCAGAAGCAGCTGAAATAAAGGGTGCAAGGAGAGAGTGTCAAGAGAAGCAGCTGGGGATGTAAGCAATGGATACATCAAGAGGGGACCCATGCTTCACGTTAAGAAGTGCAGAGGGAAGGAGGCGTTTCGAATGCCTTGGCAAGGAGAAAGCCAAAAGCTGGGAGGCCAGTTAGGAGATTATCTGCACAATTCAAGTGAGAGTTGATGAGATCCGAATTGCAAGTCAAGACAAGAAAGGAAAAGGAAACTGGAATGGTTGAGATATATTTAAGAGATAAAAGCCTTTAGATGGAGTAGCTAATTAGCTAAGAAAGGTATGGTAGGCAGAATAATAACTACCCAAAGATGTCCCTGGACGAATCCCCAGAATCTATGAATATACTAGGTTATACAGAAAAGGGGGATTAAGGTTGCAGATGGAATTAGGTTGCTAACCAGATGACCTTAAATATAGAGATTATCCTACATTATCATGGTAGGCCCAATGTGACCACAAGGAGCCTTAAGGGTGGAAGAGGAAGACAAAAGAGAGAGCCAGAGGAATTGGCAGTGTAAGAAGGACTTAGGCTGAACTTGCTGGGTTTGAAGATGAAGGAAGGCAGCTATGACCCAAGGAACACTAGGAAAAGCAAGAAAACAGATTCTCCCCCAGAGCCTCCAGAAGACATGCCGCCCTGCCAACATCTTGACTTTGGCTCAGTGAGGGTCATTGTGAACTACTGACCTCCAGAAATGTAAGATACTAAAGTTGTACATTTAAATCACTAATTCTGCGACAATTTGTTAGAGCAGCAATAAAAAATTAACACAGTGAGAGAGAGGAGGGATTGAGGATGATACCAAGATTCTGTCCTGGGCAACTATATGAGATGGTGTTTCTGTAAGGAAACATAGGAGGGGAGAAACAGGTTAAGGAGAAAGGTGTTGATTCACTTCTAAACACATTGAATTTGGAGTTCTGCAATACTGATGTCAGGTACATGCATGGGTCTGAAGATCAGAAAATAACTCTAGATTAGAGATGCAGATTTGAGATTGATTAACATATGTGGTAATTTAGGCTACCAAGCAGAGGAACAGTGGAGGGGGGAAGAAGAAAAGGGAGGAGGGGAAAAGAAAGGGAGGGAAGGAGGATAGGAAGGGACCTAGCACACAACCATGAAGAACAGTGGAATTTAGAGGATGGGGAAAAAAAAAGAAGCACATGAAGTTGAAAAGGAGCAGCCAAGAAGAAAGGAAGAAAACCAGAAAGGCACAGCCATGCAAGGCAAACTTAAAATATGTTTCAAGAAGGAAAGGTGGGTCCCAATAATGCATTACTGTTTGTTTGTTTGTTTGTTTGTTTGTTTGTTTGTTTTGAGACAGAGTCTTGCTCTGTCGTCCAGGCTGGAGAGCAGTGGCACGATCTCGGCTCACTGCAAACTCCGCCTCCCAGGTTCAGAATGCATTACTATTGAAGAGGTTATAGCAGTTAAAAAACGGAGACGTGAACACTGAACTCAGGTGGAAGGAGGCTACTGGCACTCTGGAAGCCAGACTGGGGTGGGTCAAGGGTGGATTGAGGGAAAGCATAATCATCCATAAGAAAATGCACAATTTCAATAGAAATCAAACAACACCTGCATGTGTGTGCACACAGTTTTTCATCTTTAAATCAGCAAACATGAAATCTTTTTTATTTATTAAATTTTATGCAGTCCTGGTGAAATTTCAGGGAAATAAGGACTCTTATACATTGATAAAGATTGTATACTTGGTGATATGTGTTGAATTATGTCCCCCCAAAAAGATACACTGAAGTCACAACCCCCTATACCTCAGAATGTGACCTTGTTTGGAAACGGGGTCTTTGCAGATTTATCCAAGTTAAGAGGTTCTAATCTACTAGGGCTCATGTCGTTATATAAAAAGGAAATTTGAATACAGACACAGAGGGCAGAAAGTGTGAAGAGACACAGGGAGAATATGCTGTGTGAAGATTGGAGTCATGCTGCCACAAACCAAGGAATATGTCTGGGGCTCCCAGAAGCTGGAAAAAGCAAGAGATGATCCTTCCCCTACAGGTTTCAGAGGGAGCACAGACCAGCCAACACCTTGTTCTCAGACTCCAAGCCTCCAGTCTGTGAGACAATAAATTTTTGCTGTACTAATCCACCAAGTTTGTGGTATTTTGTTACTGCAGCCCTGGACAACTAATACATCTTGCAAAAATCTGCCCCAGGACAGTTTAGAAATATGTATCAAATGCTTCTAAAGCAGTAATTTTGACTCAATCTCAATTAATTTATAATAATTAAAAATAACAAGAGACTCTTAAACAGGAAGGTTCACTGTGATAAGTTTATAATGATGAAAAATTAGAAAAACAAATCAAAATGAAAATAAGAAGTTGGCTGACTAAACCATGTATTTATAAGGTGAAATATCATGTGTTAAACACTATTAAAATACCATTTTAGAAGAAAACTAATGATATGAACAAATGTTCATACTACATTTTTACATGGAAAAGCAGGTTACATTTGGTCCGATATTATTCCAACTTTGTACTTCACGTGTATATCTAAACAATGACAAGCATTAAAGGAAAGCGTGGGCGATTTCTATCTTCATCTTAACACTTTTCTTGTTTTCTGATTTTTCTACAGTGAATATAATCATGAGAATACTAATAGTATTTTTCAAAATATATTTAATTAAACTAGTTACAATAACAATGTGTTTGGTTAACAACAATTAACTACTATCTATCTATCTATCTATCTATCTATCTATCTATCTATCTATATTCTAGCTTTATTACTTACTATGTATTCCTGGGCAAGTCCCTTAACTTTTTGAACATCTATTTAATAATCTGTAAAATGAGAATAAGAACTTTCTCATTTGGCTGTTGTGAGGATTGAATGATAAAACTGATTTAACACATATTAGCATAATGCCTGCCAAATACTACATAGTTAATAAAAGTTACCCACTATTATACGCCAGTCTCCTAGAATTAGCTTATCAGGAATCAGAGATCCATGACAACTCACCAGGAAAGGTAATCCCTGTGAGTTTTAAATGTTCATGATTTATAATTGTTGTAAGGTGTCAAGATATTTGTTTCATCAGCTGAGTACTAACATTCCAGGATCAGTAATGATGCAGCACAGCAAATATGAGTAGCTCTTTTGTGTTTGTGTTGTTACTTTCCATTTAATGTTGTAATTTCATTATAAAGGAGATTTTTAGACATGGAATAATAAAAGGCTAAGCAGGTTAAAAGTGATTACTATAAGATAAATGACAGCTGAAATATCATTGCCAACCATTTCTCATTGTAATCTTGCTGTAATTTCCTCAAAGCATTTTACAGGGTGAGAGCAATAAAAAAATGTCTTTTTGCTCATATAGAGCTCAACAATGGAAAATTTTATTGCTGATTACTTAAGATGTTCTGATATAGCTATCATGAAAATCAACAGTTGCTCAATATTACAGAACCAAACTCTGCGTTTTATTTTTTTTAAAAGAAAGGAAACACAAAGTGAGACTATTTATTTTCAACTTCTATGCTATTCATCTGGCAATTTCATTTGCCTACTATATGGCCTATCTGACTTCTATAAATAGAGAGGAGACAGTCGTTTCATAAGCAAATAAATATTTTTATATTAGAATTACTTTTTTTCAATAATTATTTTATTTTTAATTTTATACATTTAAGGTGTACATCATGACGTTTTAATATACATACCGAAGTGATTACTGCCATCAGGTAAATGAACAACCATCATTGCACATATTGGAAATTTGCTGAGAGTAGATTTTCTGTACTCTTACCACAAATTCTTTATTGGTCCTCAAAGTCACTTTCCATCTGGACATACCTGCACCGTTTTATCAGAAATTCCTTGATGTTCCCTGCAATATCTAAATTCAACTAGTCATTTCCATGAGGATAAGGAGGGTAGAATTGAAGGCAGGGGAAATTTTGATGCTTCTTTTCATATTCCAAACTATCAGTAAGGGTCCTCTTCTAATTTGTACTTGAAAAGGCCTAAAAGCATTTGTTCGTGCAGTGTTGACAAACTCTCTACCATGTACCAGTCTCTCTGCTTAGTGCTGGCATTTATCAGAGAGACAGAGATACATCTAACACCTGTTATTAATGAGTCAAATTTCAGATTAAAGGAATGATTGGTGATTTCATTTGTGGAAGAAACATTTGACACAGAAAACAATACGTAGACAATTCTGAATAAAATAATACCAAATAGTCACTCTCACTTCTAGAAAAGATTACGATCAATGATTAGCAACACTGAATGGGTTAATTTCTCCCTTCCCACTTCCCAGATAATCTATGTAAGACCCTAGAGACTTATTTACATAAAATGTATTGACACTTCACATCAGTGTAAATGTGGTTTCCTGTTCATTATGCCACATTTTCTGAGAACAAAGAACAAGTAAATTCAACCCAGTCTACATTGGTTTTAGAGGGCCACTAAAGTGAGACCTAGAGAAACAAAGCTAGAGTGAATAAAAAGTGAAACCCACAGCAAGCCAAGTATTTATCCTACATTTTATAAACGTTTCTTTGGTAGAAGTAGATATAATTTTTACATCTCTCGTTCTTTTCTTCTCATGATTTCTATGGCTTCCTGAATAACATGTATGGAGACTTTTAGTAGAAAAATGAAGATGACAATGAGAAAAGACTAGCAGAATAAATAAACATAAAACAGGGACATTAAAGTACATATTCAATTAAAAATTTCCTTTCTTAAATGAAGAGAGTGTCAGTAAAACTTCACTTCTTAGATTTTATAAGAATTATCTGTCATCATAGAAAATACAAATCTAATCTCAATTTTTTTTATTTTTATTTTATTTTTTTTTTTTTGAGACAGAGTCTCACTCAGTCTGTCACCCAGGCTGGAGTACAGTGGCGCAGTCTTGGCTCACTGCAACCTCTACCTCCTGGATCCAGGTGATTCTCCTGCCTCAGCCTTCTGAGTAGCTGGGATTACAGTGTACATCACCATGCCTAGCTAAATCTTGTATTTTTAGTAGAGATGGTGTTTCACCATGTTGGCCAGGCTGGTCTCAAACTCCTGACCTCAAGTGATCCACCCTCCTTGGCCTCCCAAAGTGTTAGGATTATAGGCCTGAGTTGCTGCTCCCAGACTTTCAAATATTTTTTTATTTGGGGCTGACCTGCTTCTCATGAGATAATATTTAGATTAGTCATCAAAGCCTTGGAACACTGTGGATATAGAGTTTTCTGTGCTGGTAAGAAGTCCATGAAGGAGTATGGGAACCTGCTTATGGATTTGTGGCTATTGGCCTACTATACAGATTTTGTATATAGATTTTGACCAAGGATATAAAGGTTATCTACACACTTCTGTTCTACTCTGTGACTGAAACCTCTGATACTAGAACAAATGTTGGGTGAGAGTCTCAGATTTCTATGAGCAGTGGTGTGGTTGACATAGTAATGTATAGCCCAGATCACCCTTCAGGGGAAGATTACTGAAGACAGCCTCCAGATATAAGCATCTTCACAGTCACTTCAGCTGTAGGCAGCTACCTGGCTATGGGACACACCCTTCATGGGGTAGACCACATTTGGTTACTGAGCAAAATGGGCAAAAAGGTCCAATCATTTTGACCCATCATAGGACAACTCTGATGGAAAATTCCTATCCCAGAGCTCCCTGACAGATTGGCTGAGATTTTGTCAGACATATATCACCGTTTACCTTCTTCCCCTGCCTAATCTTGCTTCCTCCCACCTCTTCCATAAGTGCCGATCCCCAGTAAAACTCTTGTGCCCCAAATTCTAGCCTAATATCTGCTATCAAAGAGCTCAAGTGATGACATGAGTTGAGTATACAGAGATAAATGTCCTCAGTGTTCAAGAAGCTACATTAAAGACAGTAGACAAATGAACATAGTCATCATATCAATAGATTAAAATACAAAAAGCACATGATCGACTTTTCATAAAATCTAACACTCTTTCATGATAAAAACACTCAATAAACTAGGAATAGAAGGGAACTTCCTCAACCTGATAAAAGGCATCTACAAAACATTCATGGTTAACCTCATACATAATGATGACAGATTGAAAATTTCCAACCTAAGATCAGGAACAAGGCAAAGAGACACTTAGAGTTAAGGTCTTGATTGGGATGAAGACAGTAGAGCCCCCCCCGGTCCATTTCCAATGAGGGAAGTGGAACCCCAAGAAGCCAGAGTAAGTTCTGGGGACAAGCTAAAGAAGTGAGTCCACTTTACGGATTACCCCAGTGCCTCCAGTACCACATTCTTCTGAAAACTAGCCCCAGCCTCATTTAAAGTCCCTGTCTTTGACCTACTGAGGAATAACGGGATCCATTTTCTAAAAACTTTCTGGCAAAAGTTAATGAATTATGACTTCACTTCCAAATAAGAATTGAATTTTTTCTATCGCTTTTTCCCCCTCTATTCCTATAGTATCTTTTGTCTTTTAATGTTGGCCCCAATGTTTGTTTCTAAGACTTCATGCCTCTATGTTTAGGATTATGATTATAAATTGCCCCATCTGGCCATGTGCTCTGTAGATGGATCCCATCCTCTCATCCTTGACTCTCCCCTACCTCCTTCATCTTCCTTACTGACCTCACAGGCAGCCCTGTGAATTAGTCAAGTCATTTTTAGATTCAAGGGGTAGCAACTGAAGTTAAACTAGCTTTAGCCAAAGAAAAGGATCTTGGAAAGATATTCTAGAGTATCTTTTTTTGTAACTAAATAAATAGTTGAACAACCAAATTGCAGGAAATGTATCACTGGGCCTTGGAGACAACTGGGGCCAGGGATATGAATGCCATCTGGACTCTTTTTCACCCCCTCCCTCTTGTGTCTGTTTCTGTCTGTGAACCTGCTCCATTCCCATTACAGTGGTATCCTCAAAGCAGGAGATCATGGCTATCCATTGGCTCCTAAGCTTCCACAGCAGAGAGGTACAGAAACTGTGTTTTATTTTAATATGAAAAATAACAAACATTCTATTGGTCAAGGAATAAAGAAATAACTAGCCCATGAATCACAAAAATAATGACCAGGCCTAACCCATCCCAGAGAGGAGTTCTGCTTATGTGGCAAGGATTTTTGTTGCCATTGCTGTTTATCTTAATTGGAACACCTTTAGGTGGGACATGCATTCTCTGGCCAGACTCAGGCCCTGTCACACTGTCATATTCATCGATGTCACACAGCATGATTGTCCCTGAAAGAATTTGGGTTTGTAGCCCAAGGTAGACTGAATTTCTTAAGGATAGGCACTAGGCCTATTTTCCTTTCTTTATGCTTAGTACCTAGTCAAAGACCTACATACCATGTCCCAAAGAAATCCTTGAATCAAAAATTGAACAGAACTGTAACAAACCAAAGAAGCCTTGCAAAGCAAACTGTCACATCGTACATTAGAAAAGCATGACTCCCTCTATGAAGCTCTGGTTTTCCGCTTTTTTCTTTCCTAACAAAAGCCAGAGACTTTACTTCTCCTTTATAAACTTGGTGTTATAATAGTACCAACTGCACAGAAGATTGTGTAGATTAAAGGTAAAGAAAATAGAGCATGTGGCTCTGGGCCTACCAGAGCAGCATTAAATAAATCATCATCATCACTGTCACCATCATCATGTCAGCATCATCATTGCCACACTGCTTTCACTCTTAGGGAACCGCCTCCATAGGCATCTGGTGATGCATAAGAGTTTTAGTTCCTTTAGTATCACTGGTAGGAATTTTCACCATGTACCTTGCTGGGCACAGCATCTTCAACCTATCCAGATCCTGGAATTTAGAAAAGAGACTGGGTCCAAGCAGGTCTCAAAAGCATAGCACAGACTGTGTTACTCCTCCAATGGCTAGGACCACCTGATCATTTCCAACAAATTTTCCCTGATTAGACAGCCTCCCAGGAATCCCACACAGAAAGCTCTGAGTCAAAGTCCCCTTGTGTGCAAAGCTTAGAATAGGCCTCATTATAGTGACTGTAGAGAACTCCTCTAAACCCAGCCACTCAGGCCAAACACAATTTATCTTCTATGCTCCATAGTTATTAGATCTACAGATTGGGACACATTTAAACTGCATCCTCCTTACAGATGAGCTGTAAAGATTAATTAGGCAGTATCAGCCAAGGTGGAGGTCTCATGAGAATTATGCATGACTGTACTTACTCTTGTTTTTATAAGGCTTGGGAATATTCTTTCTTTCTCTTAGTTATTTAAAATAAAGAATCTGAGCATTTATAAGTAAACAGATGAAAGAATAAATCTTCGTATTCAATGCGGCATTCCTCAATCAAGCCTTCTTCTTTAAAATAGATAAAGGAATCTACACTGAGGATGCTGCATGGTAAGCGATCACTCCTCTTACGGGGACACTGCTTTATGGTGTAGATGTAATTTTCAATGTCATTTTGATTCAATCTTTTGTTAAAGATCTACCTTGAGTAACCAATTGATTTTTGTTAGTCCCTGGAGTAAATGCTTACGGGAGGCTTCATTGCATTTATTTAAGAGGCTCCTGCTCCTTTATGAAATGCATTTGATTTAATAACAGGAGAAAGAAAAAAGGCTTCATTTACTACATGCTATTCTTTCCAGTCAATTTTGCATAACTTTTTTTTTTTTTTTTTCTTGAGATGGAGTCTTGCTCTGTCACCCAGGCTGGAGTGCATTGGCACGATCTGGGCTCACAGCAACCTCCACCTCCCAGGTTGACACCTGTAATCTCAGCTATTCAGGAGGCTGAGGCAGGAGAATCGTTCGAACCCCAGAGCCGGAGGTTGCCTTGAGCCAAGATTGCGCCACTGCACTCCAGCCTGGGTAACAGAGTGAGACTCGATCTCAAAAAAAAGAAAACAAAAATTCTAGAGAGAACTAGTGTACGTTCCTGTTCCATAAAGCAGGATTCATTTGCTGATCTGTGCTGTAGAATCAGGCGTTTACAGTCCTTAAACTAGATTCTAAAGAAAAGGCCGGGCCTCAGCTTACTCCCATGCCACTTAGGAAATTCCTTTTTCTCCTTCTTCTCCCTTCTGATATTCGGTATCTTTGAATAGTCATGACAGCAATGAAAATCAGGGTGATGACAGTAGTTGTCCCTCACTGGCACATGCTGAGCAATTTACTTATATTTGCTTATTTAATCTTCACAGCAACCCTAAGAGGAACATTCACATCATCCCCATTTTACAAGTAAGAAGGCTGAGATTTAGAAAGATTAACTTGCTTGATCCAAGTCACACACATTTAGACCCAGGTTTATCTCTCCCCAAAGCCCATGATCTTTACTCCTGAATAACACATGGGACTGGAAAATCCTTGCCAAATAAATAATCAGTATACCAGCATTATCGTTCCAAATTTAAAACCCAGAAAAGGTAAGGAGTGGCCAAGCTTCCAGTGCAAACTAGTAAATGACAACTTTATTTTCACGAGCTTGACTTTGCAGTTAAACATATATCCAATCCAGTTTAATGCATGGCAAAGATAGCTTTCTCCCTGCAGCACTGGATTCACCATATGCAATAACATCTCATCACCTAAGGTGAACTTCACAGGGGCAAACCACTTTTTTCCTAAAAAAATAAAAATAAAAATCCCCTCCTTGGTGGGGGAGGAGGAATGCTTTTCTGCTTACCCCAACACCCCCTCACTCTCACCAGAAGAGAGAAAAAAATTACCCCCAAAATATCTAGGTAAGCTAATGTTGTAACTAATATGAGAGATAACAGAGAAGAAAAACAAATGGCTGAGCAAGTAAACCTAGGGACTGTAATAGTAACAGGGTAATCAGACACCACTTTTTCAACAAGAAATTGGAAGATATAGTATTAATAGGTGGATTACATGTGGTGGTTTTCAAACCCATAGCTAGAGCCCCTTATTCCCCTCCACAGTTGTCTCTAAGGCACTGCCCGTCTGACAGCCACTACATCCTCCACTCTCAAAAATGAAGCCCAGACATTAATTGGATGTAACTGACTTGATCTCAGGGACAACTCTTCAATATCTAAAGATGCATCAACCAGAGCATTGCACCTGCTTAAAATTGCAGATATTTCCTAATCCAGACAAAGAAAAGAGTGTGCTTCTTCTTGCACCAATTGTTGTGCCTTACAAAGGCAATGCCAGCCAAGTTAAGATCCAAGCTTATGCTCCTAGCTCTGTGTCAATTCAGCTACTCACAAGCTTCAGCGGATTCCCCTGATAACACATTTCAACATCCCACACAGTCTGGAGATTTCTGCTATTACCTAATCTCCATTCCTTTTTCTAAGATTTAAATACATCTCTGCTCATCTTACGTTAAGCAGAAACAGAATTGGACCATGTCGATATGTAACACAGAGAAAAAAATTAATCTAAATTTACTGTACCTATTTCTGATTTCTAATGGGGAAGTATAGGGATAGAGATGCCATAATTCATATAATTCTCCACTTCTTCTAACCCAATTCAGAGACTAGAGGGGAGGAAATAGATTGGAAGGCATTTCTGATTTAAAGTGGTGAATTAAATACATGCATTGGCCGGGCATGGTGGCTTATGCCTGTAATCCCAGCACTTTGGGAGGCTGAGGTGGGTGGATCATGAGGTCAGGAGTTCCAGACCAGCCTGGCCAAGATGGTAAAACCCCATCTCTACTAAAAATACAAAAATTAGCTGGGCGTGGTGGCAGGCGTTTGAGACAGAGAATTGCTTGAACCTGGGAGGGAGGCAGAGGTTGCAGTGAGGCGAGATCGCACCACTGCACTCCAGCCCGGGTGACAGAGCGAGACTCTGTCTCAAAAAAATAAAAATTAAAAAAAAGCACATACTTAGTTCTGCACCCACCCCCCAAACCACATTAAATCCCAAGCAAGATATTTTTTAAATGCTTGAACTCACAAAGGAAAATGGGAGAGGAGACAATAATCTAAAATGTTGGGGGCTAGAGAATGGAAGGATGGGTGACAACTGACTTGGTAGACTGAGAAAGCAGAATTCTAAATCAGCAGCAGGAAAAGGCAAGAAACAATCTGTTCTACACTGCAGAACTCCCACTAGGCTCCGGAATCAATGGCACCAGATACTTCTGAAAGGGAGAAAGATGATACGGCTAAACACAGGAAGATGTGTTAGAAGAGTGTTTAGGAAGCATTTGCTCCTCCTTAGTCTACTACCATTGTTCTTTCTCCATCTTAGTAGAACCTGGAGCTCTATTCTCAGGAATGGGAAAAAAGGGTCTCCAAACAGTTGAGTGCAAAGCCCCATACTGAAAACGATAGAATTATAGAGCATTTACAAACTGAATGCTCAGACCTCAGCCCCTTTCCATCTCTCAGTTCCCGGAGGTTGGCAGACATGCAGGGGATTAGAAGAGATTTCTCTGGGGATTGTAACCAGCCAAAGAGAAAATTCTAAAGATATTGATATCAGTATTTTTGTTGTTTGGTTGTTGTTGTTTTGGTGGGGGTTAGTTGTTTGCTTGTTTGTTTGTTTTTGTTTATTTTTATTTTATTTTTTGAAACAGGGTCTTACTCTGTTGCCCAGGCTGCAATGCAGTGGCACAATCATGGCTCATTGCAGCCTCAACCTCCCCAGGCTCTGGCAATTCTCCCATCTCAGACTCTCAAGCAGCTGGGACTACAGGCATGTGCTACCATGCCTTGCTAATTTTTGTAAAGGCAAGGCTTTTGCATGTCAGCCGGGCTGGTCTTGAACTCTTAGGGTAGCCTCCCAAAATGCTGGAATTACAGGCATGAGCCACTGCACCCAGCCATATCAGAAGTTCTGTAAGAAAAGAGTCCATCCAATCACCCTACAGTAAAGGCCAGAGTCAACAAATCTCTCCATAGTATGCAGAGATTCTAAATATGTTCACATTTCAAAAATCGAATCATCAGATAGAACAGAGAAAACAGAAGAGAGGAACTGTCAGTGAAAAAAAACTCAAGGAAATTTTCTACACATGGAAGATATAAATCTTAGATTTAAAGCTCTGACTAGCCTAATGGCCCAGTGTAATGGGTAAAATAGATTCCTATTAAGACATTGTATGAAATTTCACAGTAAAATTTCAGAATTTTAGGGAGAATTAAAAGATGCCAGAAACTTCCAGAATGAGAAAAAAATAGGCTTTCCTATAAAGAATGGAGAGTCTAGGCTGGGCGTGGTGGCTCATGCCTGTAATCCCAGCACTTGGGAGGCTGAGGCAGGTGGATCACGAGGTCAGGAGTTCAAGACTAGCCTGACCAACATGGTGAAACCAAGCCTCTACTAAAAATACAAAAATTAGCCAGGTGTTGTGGCGCACACCTGTAATCCCAGCTACTCAGGAGGCTGAGGCAGGAGAATCGCGTGAACCTGGGAGACAGAGGTTGCAGTGAGCCAAGATCGTGCCACTGCACTCCAGCCTGGGCGAAAGAGCTAGACTCTGTCTCAAAAAAAAAAAAAAGGCAATCAAAATGAAAAGATAATAGAGCAATACCTTCAAGATGTGAAGGAAATAGTGAGTTTTGATCTAGAAGCCCTTACATGCCCAACTATTATTATTTAGCATGAGGATAAAAGAGAAACAGATTCAGACATGAAAATTCTAAAACAAAACACACAACAACAACAACAAAACCTTCCCTCTTGTGTATCCTTTCTTGGGAAGATACTGAGAGATGTGCTCCAGCAAAACAAAGGAGTAAATTAAGAAAGTAGAAATAATGAATTTCAGGAAACAGAGGATTTTACACAAGAAAGCAGAAAAGAGAATCTCCAGGATGACAGCAAAGGGAGATGGCAGAATAAAATGTATGCAGCCTGCCTAGGAGCTCACCAGACCAGACTGGGCCAGGTCAGAAGTCCATGGGAATGATTTCTACAAGAAGATAACATGAGTGGAAACTGCTGAGAGGAAATTTACTTTAAAACATGGAAAGTAGATGCTTCTAGGGAGGTGAAAGTGGTAGGGAGGATGGCATTTCCTCACCAACATATTAAAATATTTAACTCAATACCATCCACACATATAACTTTAAAAATATTTTTCAAAACACTATTTTTAAATAAAACATACATGAAAGGGTAAGACCCTGACAATCTAGCACATTGTTTAGAGGATGACATTAATTAATCTTTGTGTGTACAAAAGGAGGTCAGAATCAAGCTTGAGGGTGGGGATAGGAAGAGGGCTGAGTTTTTCTGTATGAGAAACTGAGAATACTTTTTTTTCGTACTAAGAAACATACAAGAATTGAGACAGGAGGGAATGAAGATAGAGGAGAGCAAAAAGGAAATAGACTGGAGCAAGTACTAGCAGAAATGGCCAAGAGATTTATTTATTTATTTATTTATTTTGAGATGGAGTCACTCTGTCGCCCAGGCTGGAGTGTAGTGGTACCATCTCAGCTCACTGCAACCTCTACCTCCCAGGTTCAAGTGATTCTCCTGCCTTAGCCCTCTGAGTAGCTGTGATTATAGGAGTATGCCACCATGCCTGGCCAGATTTACTTTAACTTATAGGTCCCAACCTTAAGGCCAATCTCAACATGGAAAAAAATCTAGAAGCACACACAAATTTGATTCCCAAAAAACTGAAAATCTTAACTAGAGATTCTCAAGGAGATCAGGAAGGAAGTTGTATTTTACTTCACACAGAAAGATTTCCTAAAACAACTTTTTAAATATCGTTGTCTGTCCCCAGGGTTTTCTGCATTCTACTCTGAACAGGACCTGCTCACATCTAGCCCTTTTTTGTTGCCAGATCTCAGAACTCAGCCTCACTGACACTTCTCTGACCCTACCTGGAGCCTTTGACTTCCCCCCTCCCCCCTCCCCCTCCCCCTCCCCCTCCCCCCCTCCTCTTCTTCTTCTTCTTCTTCTTCTTCTTCTTCTTCTTCTTCTTCTTCTTCTTCTTCTTCTTCTTCTTCTTCTTCTTCTTCTTCTCCTTCTCCTTCTCCTCCTCCTCCATTCCAGACTCTCTTTTCTTCCAGGTAAAGCCATTTGACTTTCTCCTAGCTCCTCCAGGTCTACTTTTCACCTATCGGCCATTAGCTCATCAAAGGTATGAAAAGGAATGATCATAAACATTTACAAATTCTGTTTCCCCCTCACATATAAAAGTGAAAGGTCTTTCTGCAACTGTAGTGGATAGTGGTACAGAACCCATATCTGCTTCCCCATTCTTCGGGACAAAGGTGCTGGTTTTCACACCTGTGTCCCTTTTGGAAATTGCCCTTTCTAAGGGAGCCGCCTTGCCCAAGGTTAGGCCCCCTACCCAGGTCATATAAGGGGGTTCCTAGATGCAGCTCCCTTGCCTCAATTTGGGATGACTCTGAAGGTCTTTCCCCACTTTGGAGCTCCTCGTGGGATTGTCTAAGGCCTCTGTGGTGATGCACTGCAGTTTCACTCCCTCCTCTGTCCAGTCAGCTTCCTACCCCCTCACAGGTGCTATTCTGAGCACATCCTCCAATAAATTTTCTGCACACTAATCTCTATCTCAGAGAAGCTGACCTAAGACAGTCAGTTACAGGCTTCAGGTAACTTAATTAGCACTATTTGAATGCATAACTATTTGAATGCATAACATACCCACTAATGTGGCTGCATATGTCTAGAATACATGAAAAAAAAGAAAACAAAGAAAACAAAGGCAGCAAAGTTTCAAGTAATACACAAATGGTTAAGCCAGTCGGCTGGAGAAACGGGGTGGCTGGTAGAAAAGAGAATATATGGGAAGGAATGAAAACTCAGGGTTTGTCTTGGAGAATTGCCTCTGGCCATTCCTAGGAATCCTGTCTAGTCCTAAGAAGAGATAGGGGCATAAGCAGGAATAAAAAGAGTGGCTTTTTCTCAAAAGATCTGTGAGATGTGAAGAAGCAGAGGCAGCATTTATTTGGGTTTAGTCTGTCTAACTTTGGCATCAATGGGGTGTGAGGGATTTGCCCCTTCAGCAAAGCAGCCATAGCACTAGTCCACTGGGATGCTACCACAGTGCCACAAGGACATATGACAAGAGGTAACACCTCCAGTAATGGGAGGTGGCACAGGTCTACCTGTGATAGTTGTGGCACAGACAAAATACCCTCATATAACTTTATCAGGTATATCATAGGAAAAGAGGGAAGTAGGGAAGAAGCCGAGGAAATGGCAAATGTGAGTAGTGGAAGAAGACTTGTTCTAGAACATTCTTGAATCATCCCTTGAAGACTCAATAAATATCCAGAGGAATTTTATAGTAGGAAGGTTAAGTTTCCACTTTAGAAATATGTCTTACACATACACACAATACCAAAAATGAGCTGATATCCAGAGTAAAATAGACAACTAATATTAATTAATAACTCTCCTAATTATATTCCATTGCTAAAGTCAATTGTTTATTTCAACTAGAAAATCTGCCTTATTTAAGACATTAGTACTCAAAGACAATTGATAATGGGTTTGCATTTCCACAAGTGTATTTGAATTTCAGTTATCTGACATCTCACAGTAGGGAATTGCTATTTGCATTTTCAGGTACAGACATCTGGGATTCAAACATGAGACTGAACACAATTATCCTTCACAATAAAAGCAAATAGAGCTCAGCATGAATTTGCTAATTGTTCTTTCCCGCTGAGCCACAATTTTTAGTCAGAACATATACATAAAAGAGTAAGTACCAATATGCCCATTCTTCTCACAAAGGCCAAAGTTATCTTCTCAAAGGCAGAGTCACATTATTTCAGTCTTTTGCTTGAAAGCTTCCAATAGAGACTAAAACTCAAATTCCTTATCATGGCAAACAAGGCTCTAGATCAGCAGATCCAAGCTTAAGCATGCATCAGAGTGACCTGGAAGGTTGGTTAGAACACGGATGGCTGGGCCCCACCCCAGAGTGTCTGATTCAGGAGGTCTGGGGTGGGCCTGGAGAATTTGCATTACTCACGAATTCCCAGATGATATTGATGCTGCTGGTCCAGTGACTGCACTTTGAGAACCACTGCTGTACCTGCTCAAGTCCCTGTCCAATCTCCAGCTTCATCTGACACTCTCCCGCGTGCCCCTTCTGTGTCACTGGCCTTCTTTCTGACCCTCAACACCTCATGCTTGTTCCAGTTTCAGGGTCTTTGCACTGATTGTTCCCTCTGACTAAACTTGTTCTCACTTTGCTCTTCACCTTCTCTGAAGGGCCTTCTTACCCTATCCCCCAGCTAAAGGAAATCCTCATCCAACCACTCTCCATCTACACCACTGTCCTATTTTATTTTCTATCCCTGGCACTCATCTCTATCTGAAGGTACGCTATCATTAATTGCTTATATGCTTATTATCTGCCTTCTCTACACAGAGAAAGCTCCAAGTAGGCAAGGAATTCCTCTGGCTGTTTATCTGTAGCACTAGGGGATAAATGATAAATAATTTTTGAATAAACAAATAAATCTGTGGAGGAAACCAGATAGCAGTTTGAGTTTTCTAGTCACAAGAGAGCTTTTTTCACTAGGCACCAAATGACTCTACCTTGATTGGTCTCTTTCTGTTACTCTCATCTGAGAACTGTTTGTGACCTACGTCATCTGTAATTAGAAAATGTATTCCACATGTCATTTGTAATTAGAAAGTTAGACCAGGGCTTATAATTTAGTACAAAGCTGGTGGAATGTTCATTGTGCTAATCAGAGAATGAATATAGTAATATTATGCTTACTCTACCAAAGACAATAAAGCTATTTTATAAAAAGACCAATGGTGTGGTGAACAAATCAAACATATTTTAAAATGAAGCAGAATTCAAATTTATTTTGATGTGAGGCTATTATCTGTGATCTCAGGCATATGACTCTTAACAAGTCACCAAACTGAAAATCCATACAAGGAAATGCTTATTTACAATACTTGAAAAATTCAGTTTTCAACCCAAACAAAAATATAAAAGATATACTTCTCTTAAACACTGGATTATTTAAGAATTTTATCTGTTCTCCAGCTCTTAACATAAACCTTAATTTTTATAGCACTAATTTGAGCAGTTTCCCGCAACTGTTGTCCATGAAAATTTATTTTTAGGAGATGCTTAATGTTTGGTTCAAATTCTGTGGCTCACAGTAAGTGATCTCCCTTAATTTCTTTTGCTTGGGAAGGAAAGTAAAACACTGCACTTTAGAATCAGATCCTGCTGGGGGTTGTTTTAATGACACTTCATAAACTTGTATCTGTAGTTCTTCCTTTTGTTATCATTGCACCAAACATGTTTCTATTATTTGAAATTATTTTTCTGGGTAACCACTTGATAATTAGTGCAATACTTAGCTCATCCAGTATACAAACATACTCATACACCATTCTCTCGGTGTTCTGTTAAACCTGGCAGAAAACCTACCACATAGTGATGCTCAGTGGGTAATAAATGAATGAATGACCAACATAGCAACCAAAGAGAACAGGAGCACAAAGTCATAGTTAGAGAAAGGATAGTTGGAGGAAGGAAACCTGTTTCTCCTATGCCTTGCACTGCCCCATTTTCTCAGAGAAATGTTTTACTTAAGAATGGACAGAGCCTTGATGCTTATTCAAAGGGAAGAATATTTGTGGACCTGTTGCTGCAAATGGGTTATCATGTAATGTGGCAAAACAAGTCACTAATTAGCTGGGTCATGTTGGGTAAGCTGCTTTACCTCTATGAACCTCACTTTTTCTTTTAGGGAAAAATTGGTGAGTTTAAATGATTTATGAGAGCCAAAATTCCATGCTTATCTATTAGATCTATTTCTAATAACTGAGGAAAAATGCTACATCCCAATGTCATACTTGATTTTGTGATAGCTAATCACCTAAACTGAAATATATATAGCATTCACAAACCATCAATTTAATGTATTGCATGTTATTGATCCACAAAGACACTGGATGCCATGTTCACTTTTCCTGATGCATCGGTATACCCCCTAGGACTTCACAATTGAATTCAGAATTGAAACCTCGGAGCCATAGTTTTTTACTATGGCAAGGCCTGAGTCATACTTTGTTTCATGCGCTTTCCTGGCTTCATTTCTTTGGGACAGGAATTATATAGAATATCCTGGCATCCTTGCCTTTCTCATTTTGTGATTTTTATGGTATATGTGCTTGGAATATCATCACATGATAATAGGATATTAATATTCATGGCTTCATCTTCTTCTGTCTCCATAAAACAGATTCATATAGATTAGCACTGGCTGCTTCAGTGCAGATACGCAAACATGAGCCAAGGCATGGAAATCCGTGTAAGGAACAACTTAACTTAGAGTAAGTGAAATAGATCGATCTACTTTTATTTTTCTAGCTGAACACATTGTAAAAATTAAGCAAAACAAAAGTCAAGTGTGACAAGGATTTTAACCAGAGAATATAGTAGATTGCCATCATCAAAGCCCATACGAAAAGACAAGCCTAATCTTACTGAGCTTATCTAGGTATTCAGCAATGACCAACCCCAAGAAACCCACTGTTCTACAATCAATTTCTCCACCAAGGGAACTTATTCAAGCTAATGAACTGAGGGAAGACATAGGACTGCAAACAACGTCTGAGCTTTTTTTTTTAGCATAAAATTAAATGATCTAGGTTGCATACAAACCAATAGGATGGTTCACTTTTAATGAAACATGTAAATTCTCCTTTACATGTAGCCCTGAAAAGTTGCCAATTGAAGAGAGTCTTTTCCCTGATTAGCGGCCCTTTGCATAACACCCCTCACTATATAGTCATTGAAACAAAACACATGCTGTGCACAGCTGCCTCAATTTGTGCAATAGATTGGCTGCAAAACAAATTTCAACCCAGAATCCTGTATTGGTGAGCTACAATTCAGTTGGAAGTTCCTTTGAGAAATAACACAGCAAAAATTAGAGTTTTAAAGTATCACCATGCTATACAAACATGCCATGATTTATTACTTTGTGCTCAGATCATCTAACCCAGACCCATTCCTCTCCAATTGTCTTTGTTTTATCTGCATAATAATAGTAGCTACCTTTGATTTTCTGCATTTGTCAGGGTAGTTATATGAGTTTGTGTATTCTCACCCTACTTGGTTAAACCAGTTAAGAATTCCTAAACATCACAAATCTGGACACATGCTTTCTTAAAGTTTTCATGAATAGCAACCATGAATGGTGAAATTATTTTCTTTAATACAACATGCGAGAATAAAAAGCTTTCATATGGATGCAAGAACTTCTAAACTTCTCTGTGAATCTTCTCCTGAGTTGCTACAATATTTTCCTTTGTTTTCTTCTGAACTACAAAGCCCATAATGACAATCTAAGATCTGGGAAATATTAACATATGTTTTCCATGGCATATGATGTAAATATCATTTCCTTGGCAGCAATTTTATTTGAAAAATGTATTATTTGCCTACCCTACATCCCATGCCCAATCAATAGCAATTTTACTGCCAATTCCACTTGCCCAGCATCTACTGAATGCATCTTTTCCTCTCTATTCCCTCAGTTAATCTTTCTCTCTCAACTTCATTACTTGTGGCACAGCGTGATTTGTTATACACCAAATCAGTTCCCTTCTCTTCCTGGGCACACAGCTAGACTACACGTCCCAGCCTTCCTTGCAGTTAGCTGAAGCCACATGATTTGGTTCTGGCTATAATGGAATGCATGCAGAAGTGTTATATGCTCTTTCTGGATGGTCCATAGAATCCTTTTGAGAATACCTTCCTTTCTCTTTTCCAAATTGTGAGCTGGATGGAGGAGAGACTCCAAAGACCTAGAGGAGGGCTAAGCCGCAACACATAAGGAAGACCAGGGCTTGAGTCACAATTTGGAGGAGAGCTGTCTGTACAAATGAGCCACCCAACCAGAAACATCTGCAGTGGATTTGCAAAAATGAGAGGCAAACATTTACAGTATTGACGCTAGACTGTAGGGATATCTGACACAGTAAATAGGCTATCTAACTAATACACTACTAAAATAGCCTCATCTCCCAGCTTCTTCTCTCTCTATCCCATTGTCCATACTGAAATCATGTGTATCTTCTCCAAACACCACGTTCCAACTATTACCCCCATTCAAAAATGATTCATAGATACACTGAATAGACAGTTGCTGTATTTCTATTCTGTTCCAAGCTAACCTCTTACAGAATCTCACAGTTGAAATTCCTTCACCTGGCTTTCTACGATTTCCATTTGTGTTTACAAGTTTGCCTCTCATTACACACCCTACCCTGGGCTCTATGTTCCTAATTCCTGGCAACCCAAATTATTCACTATTCCTGACATAGTATTTAGATTGTTTGCCTTCATGCTTTTGATTTCCTTTGTTCTGTTTCTAAACTTTATATTTCTTTTTAAGCTCCACTGTAAATGCTATCATTACCAGAAAGCTGCATTCCCCTGAATCCCTAGCTGAAAGTAATCTTGTACTATCTCTGTCTGTCTCTCTCTCTCTCTCTCTCTCCTTCTCACTCCCATTGCTCTCACATGATTTTTTCTGTTTCTCCAAGTTCTGCAAGTGCAAGGAGGATGAATCCACACACCTGTCTCATTCCCCACTGGAGCTGACACTATGTCTGGCACGTAGTGGGTACTTCATTGAATGACTACCACTTACTCGTTGGGGCTTACTATAGTGCCAGAAGGGTAATAGGTCATTGTTTAATGAATGTGAAATCTACATTTCCACCAGGTTACATCAGTCTGCAATTTTTAATACTTCAAAACAGCTTAACTTTTTCCCTCCAAATATCTGTTCTTCCTCAGCACTGCCTACAGATGGCTTTCCATCCTTCTGGTTGCCTAAACCAGAAACCTAGAATGACTCCTCTCTTCCTTACTCCCTGAGCTGTCCCCTGCTGATGCTACTTCCTAAGAAGACCTCAAATGCATGCTATCTTCTTCAGCCACTGCTCTCTTAGGGCAGGCTGACATTGTCACCAAACTGGCCTTACCCTGCGTTTAGTGCAGCCCTCGGCCTCCCCATTCCTGGGTCCACTAGATACACACAGCCAGATGGTCTTTCTAAAATCAAACCTGATCTTGTTCTTCACTCATTTAAACTCCTGAAAAGGCTTTTGACTGATATTTCACAATCCCACTCTAGATAAAGTAAGCATAAACTAACCCAAATTTTTGTAAATTGATTAATTCATTTTAACTCAGCAAATAAATGTGAAGCACCTCTTTGAAGTGTCAGATACTGTTGTTAGTGCTGGAGGATACAATGCAGAACAAAAACAAAATCTGTGCGCTCGTTGAATTTACATTCTAGGGTGGGGATGTGCAGTAAAGAAAGACAAAATAAATACACTATTTAGCATATTAGAAGGTTACAAATGTTGAGGGGAAAAAATGGAGCAAATATTGAAGTCTGAGAGTGCAAGTTTAGAGGAAAGATCATGATTTAAACGAGGAAACCAGGGTAGGCCGTTATTGAGAAGGTATCACTTCGAGTGGAAGATATGAACCAGGCAGACAGAGGAAGTAGCCAGTGCTCAATCCTTAGTCCTAGAAAGAAGCATTTCTCGTCTGTATGAAAAGGTTGATCTAATAATCTGTTGGTAATCTCTGCTTCAGCCACCAAGACCTGCTTCGAGTTCCTTTATGTGCCATTCTTCCTTTTCTGGTTTTTTTGCGATGTTATTCTCATATTCCCTATGATAGGAATATGTCAAAGGAGCCCAGGATCCAACTGAAAGAGTTCCCAATGGCCAAGGCTGGAACAATTTGAGCAAAATATAGTAGTATTGGATTATAACCCAAAGTATATAATAAACATCTACGAGTCCATACTGACATAAATGACTAAGTAAATAAATGAGGGAGAAGAAATGAATCTCCTGTACAGAAGAATTCCAAATAACTTAAATTGATAGTCCCCCTGACCCCATGAAGTCGGAGCATGTCTCCCCATTCCTTAAGTGAGGAATGTGCATAGTGAATTCCTTCCAAAGTACGGAAGGGGGTAGGGACAAAAGTAATTTGCTACAGTGGAGAAATCTGACACACACTATCTCAGCCAGGTGATCAAGGTTAACATCAATAGTTATAAGTCACATTGATAGTATGTACTCTTGATACGATATGGGTAGAACAGCACTATTTTCCTCCCCAAAACCCATAAGCCCTGTTAATCATGAGAAAACATCAGAATTCCCTCTGTTCTTCCCTTCCCACTTTCCCTAAGTCCTCCTAATCCCTTAGGGGTTAGCTGAGCACTGCCTGCCATTCTCTCAAACTGTAGTGTGCATACAAATCACCTGAGGTGAAGCCTGGCAGTCTGCATTTCTGACAAATTTCCAGATGATGCTGATGCTGACAGTTAGGGACGTAAGTGTTGCCAGTCCAGAGGGCTGGTCAGTGGTTCTCAACTTTGAATCATATTGGAACCAACTAGGGAACTTTTAAATACCTGCCTTTCCCACCAACAATACTCCACCCAGATCAGTCAAATCCAAAATTCTGAGAGTGGGATTCAGGTATAAGTTTATTTTCCAGTTTTCCAGGTAATTCCAATGTGCAGGCAGGTTAAGAACCTGTGGAGTGTCCAAGATGCCTTCTAACTCAGAAACGTATCACTGGGATGGCCAGGCCTTTCCAGGGAGGACACCACTGATACTGCTCGGTTATGTCACAACGTTACCATTGTAGACACAGACCTGCAACACAGTGATTCTAATCATGGGCTCTAGAGAGGGGATGTGTAGGTTGAAATCCAGCTCTATTACTTGATCTTGGGAAAGTTGCTTTACCTCTATCAGCCTTAATTTTTTCATCTCTAAAATGAAAATCATTATATCTAACATGTTGGTTGTTGCTCTATTACAGGATTTAAAAAGGTGGTTACGCCCAGCAACTCACAGGTTATCAGGAGCCAGGCTGCTGTAGATTTTAATATGAGTTTTGCAGCATCACAGCTTTTTTTTTTCCTAAACAAATATGCTGGTTTGTTTTCTTGCTTTCCTCCTGAAGAGCATCCATATGGAAAATAACAACAGCCACTAGGGAAGGCTAGATCATCTTAAATGCCACCAGGGGAATTCTTTCCAGTAGTCAATTTCCTCTTCTGTCCTCAGTTCCCAAAGATACCCTAAGCAGAAGTCACTGTTTTGTTTTGTAAAACATTTGCCCTGGATAATGGACAGTAATTCTAAGCAGTCTTTCAGCAGACAGAGCCCTTTTCCTATCCCCTGTCATCCTGTGCATAATAAGCAAAGTTGATATACTACACTCACTAGAAGTAACGTTCTTGTCTGTCTTCATTTGCTAGCAGTGGATTATAGTTTTGATTGCCTTACATGAATCAAACACTCTCTTAGTGGAAGCTGCAACAGCAATGAAATCATTAGATGGTTCCACCTAATTAGTAAGTCTTGAGCACATTTGTCTCTCGGTGTTTGGGGAAGGGATCATAGACTCAGGGAGGCTAGGTTTTAATTTATACTAAGCCTATGGGCACCTTGAAAAATAAGAGCATTTTTCCTACTCTCAGTTCATGAAGTTTCAGCCATACCAAATGTTTCAGCATTAGAGCAATCTCAAATTCTACCCCTTCCCACCCTACCAGGCCTGGTTAGCAAGACTTGAGAAAAAAAATATTGAAAATGTATTCATAAATCCAGGTCTTTCCAAAGCTCTTCAGTGATGAATGAAAACCCTGCTCCCAAATACTGCTTTTTTAAGCCCCTACCGGGACTTGTCTGCTCTGTCCTCTTCCCCTCGGGCTTCCATCAATACACTGGCTATGTCTCTACAGCCATGACTCTACTGACACTGGAGTGTTATCTTTCTTCTCTCCCACATACAAAATTTGAGAAGTATTTTCCCTAGAAATAATTTATAAAGACTGGTTGGATTCAGTAATGTCATTAGTATAATTAATTCAGTTAATATATGTAAGGTCCTAGAATAAGGACTTGTACATGGTATTTGCTCAATAAATGTTTGGCATTAATATAACAATTATTGCCCTTATAATAGTGGATCAACCATATTATTTTCTGAATAGGCTTTTGTGGGCTAATGTGTACTTTAGACACCTTTTAATAATAACTGAGTACCTTCTCAGCATTTAGCATTATGTTAAGCATATGCTTTGCCTCAAATAATTCTCACAACAGCCCTATGAAGAAGGTACTGTTATTCCTCACTTAAACAATAAACAAACTAAAACTCTGGAAGGTTAAGGAAACTACTCAAGGTCATACAGCTCATAAGTGCCAGGCCTAGGATTTAAACACATGGCTTTTCTGTTCTTAAAGCCTGTTCTCTTAGTCACAACACTCAACTCCCTAACAGAACAATGCTTGGTCTACCCTGTCCATCTTTGCTGTTCTCAGCATCCACCTAGAGGAAAGAAAGGAATCTGTTAGTGCCAAAGGGTTTGGAAGTCCAGGGAAGACTTTTTATCTGCACTCCAGACAAAGTTTTGAAAGGTGGATTGTGACCTCTCTCGGCAGAATAAAAAGCATTTGACTTTTCCTCTGTTCTTTCAAGAGTTCTTTCTGGCTTCATGTTACTCATCCTCTAACTTCCTAAGACTCACTCATGCATACCCTCTTATTAAAGTCCTTTAGCTATTAATGAATCATTAATTTCTATTGATTATATATATTTTTTAACCATCCTATTCAATACAATATTCTTGAGGGCAAGAACCATATTTGTTTTACAAAATTCACAGCCCAAGGCCACAAGAGCCAAATGTCTCCTCTGATTGACCGTACTTCCTCAAATCCTATCCTAAAGCAGACCAAGATAATGATGGTGATATTATATGAAGTAATGTTATTTGCTCACTAAATATAGGTCCTGCCTTTGAGTCTTTTTTTTTTGGTGACTTGTACTGAGACAGAAATATTATATTGTTCAGTTACAGTTTGAACCTATAAAATAGTTGACTACCAGCAGGAAAAAAATTTATGACCTCGCAACAGAGTTGAGGCATCATTGCAAATGAACACTGTCCTACCATTACAGAGAACAAAGCTTGAATAGTAGCTTTGCCATTTACTAGCTCTCTATCTCAGGCAAGACATTTAACATATGAGAATTCTCTCATCTGGAACACCATCATGCAGGGTGATAATTTTTTCATCTTGTGTAACTAAAATGTCTAGCTCAGAGTAGCTCTTCAATAAATGGTAGGTAAGTGTTTATAAATGGTAGGCTGGGGAAATTCAATGAACCCACCCCAGGAGCAACAAGCACATCCAGTAGCTAGTTCTTGGTTTCTAATATAATTTTCCAATTAAAGGACCAGGAATCCTTGAAAAAATGGCTGATTCTAGGTCAGGGGAATAAAATATACAAGATGAGTTTGGAACACCTTTTAGTGCCAGAAAGTAAGGAAGTGCCCAAAGAAAATCACTATGATGGGGATATGTCAAAGGAGCCCAGGATCCAACTGAAAGCACTCCCAATGGCCAAGGATGGAACAACTTGAGCAACAAAATATAGTAGTATAGGATTATAACCTAAAGTATATAATAAGCATCCATGAGTCCATACTGACATAAATGATTAAGTAAATAAATGAGGGAGAAGAAATGAATCTCCTGTACAGAAGAATTCCAAATAACTTAAATTGATACTCCCCCACCCCCACCCCATGAAGGTGGAGCATGACTCCCCATTCCTTAAGAGGGGGATGTGCATGGTGAATTCCTTCCAAAGTATGGAAGGGGGTAGGGACAAAAGTAATTTGCTACAGTGGAGAAATCTGACACATACTATCTCAGCCAGGTGATCAAGGTTAACATCAATACTGATAAGTCACATTGATAGTATGTGCTCTTGATATGAGACATGGGTAGAACAGACTATTTTCATCCCCCAAATCCATAAGTCCTGTTACTCATGAGAAAATATCAGACAAACCCAAATTGAAAAACATTATATGAAATATCTGACCAGCATTCCTCAAAACCGTCAAGGTCATCAAAAATAAGGAATATCTGAAAAGCTGTAACAGTCTACAGGAGTCTAGGGAAACATGAGAAGTAAATGCAATGTGGTATCCTGAGTGGGATCCTGGTACAGAAAGCAGACAGATAAAAATTAAGAAAATCTGAATTAAGTGTGGATTTTAGTTAATAAGTGTATCAATATTGGTTCATGAATTGGGACAAAAGTACCATAGTAATGTCAACAATAGGGGAAGTTAGGTGAGGGTTATACAAGTGTTCCCTGTAATAGTCTTGCAACTTTTCTGTAAAAATAAAACTGCTTTGAAATAAAAAGTTTTTTTTAAGTCAATGAATCCTTGCTTAAGGTCACACTTGGAACAGTATATTTCTAACTATAAATAAAGTCTCATAGTAAAAATAATAGTGGGATTATGTTACACATTTGATTAAGGATTTCCTGCGTATTTTGGAACTTGGAGTAATCTAACAGTTTGTGAGTTCTCTAACACAAATTATCCACCTTTTAAACCATCTCATGAGAAGACTTTACTGAGATGGTTACAGAGCAGCATCCCAGAATGCTTGACAATTTCTTCCTACAGAATTGTGACCAGGGTAAAGAATATTTTTGACCCATTTGTTATAAATAAAATGCCTTAATGAAAACAGAGAATTTGTTATGTAGAATATTAAGGCTGGGAAACCAAGACCAATTATTCTGAGAAAAGCTGTTTTCCACAAATGTGCCAGAGAAATGTTAAGAATCAATACAGCCTATTTCCAAAGGTTTGAAAGGAAGTGAGTGCTCGATTCAATGTCAGGGTTCTCATAATATGACATCTACAATACCCTGCAGAGGAGGCATTTTTCAAATAAGAAGTTCTGAATACATACATACCTCAGCTACTTAAAGAGCGTTCTGTGCATGGAGGAGGTTAAGTGCTATGGAATTCCTTACTGGCCTGTATAAAAAAGTAGGGTGAGAGAGAAAGCCTGGTAATAATAAGTCCTTAAAATGCTCTGCAAGTCCAAGGATTCATTCCCTCCTGGTTGATATGACAGTTTAAAAATATATGCACAAATCCTTTGATATTTCTTGATATGGTTTGATTGTGTCCCCTAAAAGTTCATGTCTTAAAAAGTTGGTCCCCAGTGTAGACGTGTTGAGAGGCAGGACCTTTGGGAGGTGATTTGGTCTCAAAGGCAGAGCCCTCATGGATTAGTCCATTCATTGATTAATCAATTATCATGAGAATGGGTTGGTTATCACGAGAGTAGATCTGTTATAAAACCCAGTTTTGCCCTCTCTCCTGAGCCCCCTTTCCATGAGACTCCCTGAGCGACCTCAAAACTCTGCAGAGTCCCCATCGGAAAGAAGGCCCTCATCAGATGCGCTCCCTCAATCTTAGACCTCCCAGCCTCCAGAACTGTAAGAAATACATTTTTTATAAATTACTCAGTCTCAGATATTCAGTTATAGTAACAGAAAACAGACGAAGATGCACCTCCTACCCAGAATTGGGGTCTATGTCTGCTCCGCTTGGACCAGGAGGGCTTTTGTGACTGTTTCAACCAATGGCATACAGCAAAATGGATGCCCTGCTTCCAAGGTTAAGTCCTAAATGTCAATGTGCTTCTGACTGGCTCACAGGAATACTTGATCTTTGGAAACCTGCAGCTTCTGTGTTTGCTCTGGCACCACTGTTGGTCTAGCTCCAGCAAATATTTGACCATAACCCCATTCATTCATTCATTCATTCCATAAATATTCATTCCATAACCCTATTCATTCATTCATTCATTCATTCATTCTATAAATATTAATCCCATGAGAAACTCTGAGCCAGGTTTAGCCAAGCACTTTCTGAATTCTTGCCCCACAAAATCCATGAGGTGATAAAATTATTGTTGCTGTTTTAAGCCACTAAGTTTTCAGGTAATGTACTATACAGCAATGGCTAATTGGAATAGTTACTTTAAAATAATTCAAGAATGAGTTGGATTAATATAAAGTGTCAGTACAGGGTAATAATGATGCACTGACTGTGTTTTGTCAAACCTGTCTATAGAATCATAGATCTATAAATTTATATTAATGGTAATGGTGTTTTAGTTTAATACTACAATTATTTACTCATAACCCAGAGCCTTCTGCTTTAATTTAGAAAATATTTGTTAAGCATCTACTATATGTCAAGCACTGTGACAAGCATTAGGAATTCAATAGTGTAAAAGACAATCATATACCTAGTTTCATGAGCTTACACTCTAGTGGGAGAAACAAACAAAAGGAAGTAAACAGATCAAATGATGGCCAATTATGGTAAGCGCTGTAAAGAAAACCAACAAGGTACTTGGGACAATCTTACTTTTGACAGGTGATTAAGAAAGGTGTCTTTGATGGGGATAGTGTTTAAGAAAAACCTTAAGATTGAAAAGAAAAATGACCAGACAAGTTAAGGGCAGCAGAAATTTTCCTAGAAGAGGAACAACATAGACAAAGGCCCTGAGATGTAAATATGCCAGGATCAGGGTAAAAGTCAGGGTGGATGGAGCTTAATACGTGAGGAGTGTGGAAGAAACAGCTAGTGTTCTACCAGAGAATGTCTATTCTGTGTTGAGGAGCTGAATTAGAGAAGTGGCTTTCTAGTAAAATATTTTATTTTCTCCTCCTTCTCCCTTGCATGTAAGCATAGTTATGTGACTGAATCTTGGCCAATAGCATGTGGGTGGAAGTGCCACCACTAGAAGGGTACTCACAACCTCTCCACTCTCTGCTTAAGCGCCAGCTGGACACTGATTGACACATAAAGGATCTGTGAAACTACATGTGAGGATGCCATATCACCTTCACCGTGAGACCCTGAATGACTGCATGGGGCAGCCCCCATCATTTCTTCCACCTTCAGCTTGGTCCAGAAGAACAAAGTTCACAAAATTAGAATTTCTTTTAAATGAAAAGAAATAAGTATACAGTTCAAGGAAGTGCCTCGTGCATTACCTAGCAGCTTTTACACTTTCTGAAAGTCTTAATAAACACTTTATATGTTTTAGAAAACATAATCTCCTCAAATATCTCACTCTAGCTGTGTTAAAGAAAGTTTATGTCAGGCTTCTCACCCCTTGTGATATATGAAAAACAGTTGACTGAGAACACACAAAGATCATGTGATCTTTATCAAGCCAAGCCCATTCCCGCTGCTCCCAAAACTGAACTTTGAGCATGACCTAAGACTCTGTAGCAAATTAAGGTATCATCATCATGAGGATTACACAAATCTGGTGGACACAATGATAAATGAATGACCCAGAGTAAACCATATTTCCAAACACAAGCCCAAAGACAACACAAGCACTTACACCATATGATAACATAGAGCCTATTATTTTTGCCTTACCTTATAATTGTTATCTATTGGATCAGTTTTCATTTGAGAGTCTCTTCTGGGAAAGAATATTTAGACAAAAAACAAATTTCAGGTAATTTTAGTTGCCTTTCCTCTCTACATTTCAGGAGTTAGTGCTCTCAATGCAGTTACAATGTGTCATAAGATGTTCTAAACATGTTCCCTAAATGTAGCAGTTTAAATCACTGCATAAAATAATACAGACTAAAATATGTGAGGATTATGCCTATAACCTAGCATTAAAATAATTTTTTTGCTATGTTTAAGTATAAAACCTATCAAAAGGTTTGCTTATTCTGCAAAACTCAGGTCTACCAATATTAAAGGAATATTAGCCTGTATGTAGCCTAATGAGGGCTAAACTAAAATCCAGGCAATCAATGAGCCCCATTTGCACAATTATTATTTGAAAAGAAAACATGTATTTTTAAAAATTACCTTCTTTCTGAGAATATCTGTAAGTTTGAAGGGATTTTTCAGCTTGCATTGAGGTGGTTAATGTTGTTTAATGTGATCCTTGACAGATATTTGCATGAAATGCTCAGGTTTGTGAAGGAAAACATACACACACACACACACACACACACACACACACACACACACCACATTTTGTCATTAACTGTGAATGCCCCAGAAATACTTGCAAAAGACAGAGTTTGATTGACAGCTAGAAACTGCATACATTAACCATTTTTCAATTTTGGCTACTTTAGCCTTTACCTATGCAATTATATCACCTGATGAACAAAATGCAGCTGTTCACAAGTAATCAAAGCAACTCCAAATAGCATGATAATTCTTATCTCTCCTGAAGATTCTAGACTCAAGCCAGCTAGATAGTTATTTCTTGATTTTCTCACCCCAAAATTTCGTTCAGATTTTAGAGGAACTGTAGAGGTTATCATATTAAAGCAGTTCAAACTGATTTCCAGAGACCTTGACCAATTATTTGTTCATTTATTCCATAAATATTAACCTGTATCTGCTATGTGCCAGTTACAATAACTATGTTTTAAGGACCCTGCATAAATACAACATCTTCCTTGATCTTGAGAAGAAAATAGTCTCTAACAAGTCTAGGGAATACAGACTAGGGACAATTAACTCTAAACGACTCTGGGAGCCTCAGGAATCAAATGAGTGAATCTTACTAGGTTGGTGCAAATGTAATTGCACTTTTTGCCATTAAAAGTGATGGCAAATCCAGAAGAAAATCCCAAAATAATAAGCTTCAGTTGTTTAAAATGTGACTTGTGCTCCATAATAAAGATGTCTGACTGAGCTGCTTTTTAGTCAGCTGTCAGAAGTGTATCATGCAGAGAAAATCTTCAATTCCTGAAAGTCCCTCTCTTTCTCACACACACACACAAACTGCAGAGCATTTTGCAAGTTATATCTTAATTAACATGTTTTTTTAATATCATAAATGAAAGTTAATGGGATGAAGAGCTCAGAAGAACACCTCACACTGCCTAGAAATTTGCCTCTGTTTTCACAGAGGCAATTAGATATATTTCATATCTTATAATTTCAAGATATTAGAATGGCAAAATGAGATCTTCAATCTGTATATGTGAGACTACAGAGTAATGCTGCTTTTGTAAAGAGCAGAGCAGAATCTATCACCTCAAAGACATGCAGGCCCAATCAGGGTATAATCCACACTGGGAAGTTAATTATTTAAGTATTCTGGGGGCTTCCTCCACAGTCCTTTGGATTTCTTGAAAGGTGACAAGTCTTCATACTGAGACACTAGGATTAGTTTGAGAAAATGGTCAAAAGCAGTTCAGAGTTTGGTTTGGTAAATAAGATGAATTACAGAATGAAGAATTACCACTTTTTTTGTTAAAAAAAGGAGGGAGTGATTATAAATTGATAAAACATTTTTGTACTTTATAAAGTGGCTCTGGGGAAAATTCACAAAGGGAAATTTTGAAAGTGTTTTAATAAATGGCATCATCACTGGAATAAGTTATATATAGAAATTCTAAAGTGACAACTTTAGAGAGAAAAACACACATTTAAATGTATAAAATCCCTGTATCTTGCTACAGAGTGTAAAGCTTACACTCATTATTTTTAATGCATTAAAAAATAATGTGTTAATTATCTAAATTATTGTATATATTTTTAATACTCAGCCTCTATTTTAATTGACAAGTAAAAGTTATACATATTCATGTATGGTGAACAGCATGGTGTTTTGTTATATGTATATATGGAGAAATGGCTAAATTAAGATAATTAACATATGCATTACCTCACATATCAATATTTTTTGTAGTGAAAACATATGAAATTTACTTTCTAATCAATTTTCAAATATACAATATGTTAACTGTAGTCACTATGACGTACAATAGATTTCTTGAACTTATTCCTCCTGTGTAACTGAAATTTTGTGTTCTTTGACAAGCATCTCCCTAATTTTCCTACTCCTAGCCTCTGGTAAACACCATTTTACTCTGTTTTTCTGAATTCAACTATTTGACACTCCACGTATAAGTGAAATCATTTGGTATTTGTCTTTCTGTTTCTGGCTTATTTCACTCAACATAATATCCTCCAGGTTCATCCATCTTGTTGCGAATGACAGGATTTCCTTCTTTTATTAAGGCTGAATAGTAGGCCATCATGTATATATAACTGATTTTCTTTATCCATTCATCCATTGATGATAACTTAGGTTGATTCCATATCTTAGCTATTGTGAATCATGCTGCAATGAACATGAAAATACAGGTATCTTTTCAACATACTTATTTCAATTCCTTCGGGTATATACCCAGTAGTGGGATTCCTGGATAATATTGTAGTTCTATTTTTAGATAATTTTTAAAGCAACCTTCATACTGTTTTCCATAATGGCTGTACTAATTTACATTCTCATTAATGGTGTGCAAGGGTTCCCTTTTCTCCACATCCATGCCAGCACTCGTTATCTTGTCTTTTTGATAATTGCCATCCTAACAGGTGTGAGGTGATACTTCATTGTGGTTTTAATTCTCTTTGCTTTGCTGATCAGTGATATTCAGCATTTTGTCATATACCTGATGGCCATTTGTAAATCTTCCTTTGAAAAATGTTTATTCAGGCCCTTTGCCCATTTTTTAATTTGATTATTTGTGGTTTTGCTATTGAGTTGCTTGAGTTCCTTATATATTTTGGATATTAACCTCTTATCAGATATATGGTTTGCAAATATGTAAATTCTTGCATATTTTTAATCTCATTACTTTACAGCCATAATGCCTATTCCCTCCATGTAATTATAGGAAGCATTTTATATACACCAAATTCAAAAGCCTTTTACAGACAGGTGGCTGGTGAATTACCAGATCCTTAATTCATAAATTTAACTTGTTATACTCATTTAGTTTATTGTGTGTAATGCACACAAACCCTGAATGATTCACACAAACTATTTTTTACTCATAAAAACATGCTAAAACCTTTTCAGAGAGTTGCTTTTGTCTCCTTTTGGAGTGCTCCTTCTTGAGTGTGTATAAACAAGCAAATTCTTTGATATTCAAATTAATGAAAGCAGTGGAAAAGAGAAATGAATCCATCTGAAAATCATATGCTTCTTTTTGATACATATTAATGAAAAGATCACACAAAAAAAGTTATTTAAGAGAATGTCTACCTCATATGCAATGAAAAACTCCCTTGCTGGTAAAAAACAGACCAAAAAGTTATTTCACAGATAATCACAAAATCAGAATTTTAGTTCTCCCCCCACCAGAATAGTAAGTGGCTGGAAGTATGTACTTTTAGGTGGGAGTAATATGGACTGAAGCCCTGACTCAGAAATTTGTTAGCTGTGTGACCTTAAGTTAATTAACTTTTTTGAGCCTTAATTTATTCATCCATAATATGAAAATAACACCAATACTCATTTTACAGAGTAATTTTAAGGATTAAATAGTAGTGCACATAACTTGCTTAGTATAATGCTTTGGAACTTAATTGTTGTTATTACTGTTGTTAATATTATTTTTAATTTGAGAAACTCTTTTGCCTATAAAATGGGGCTGCCCCGTAATTAAGCAGTGAGAAATAAAAGAGATGGCATAGAAAATTAGAAAAAAATAATTTAAATGTTATGCTATCCTGGGTATCATTATGAAGTACAAAATGCTATTTTGCCTATATCACAATTAACAGTAAGATGTCTATTCCCCATACTATTTCAGACTGAACACGCAGTCTAAGTAGTTGCATCTCCTCTGTTAGCAATGGGGGATTGAGTAACTTTAGTCTGGGATGGTTGAGTTTCTCTGGGCTTCATCAACAGATGGGATCACAGTAGCTGTAATAAATCAAATTTCACTGTCTCCTGCCCCATCTGTTCAGGCAGGACCTGCAAACAACCCCACCCCCACCTCCTCAGAGTCTCACTCAGATATGTTTGGTGGGCCCCATGAAGTATCTTATGTGAGCTCACAAACGGCTCTGTTAGTTCTCATCATCACATGGTACTTGTCAGGGTCTACTTCTCCCATTCCAGCTCTCTTGGTCAGTGTTCACAGACAGCAAAGCCATTTGAGGAGGGTCCCTTGCTGCTACCATAGCTGCTGATACCGCCCCCTCTCCCATATAGAATAGTCATGCCAAGTATGATGTATCTCAGTGCTCACAAAACCATGGACCTCTAGGTGTGTTCAAGGAAGAAGGCTCTGGTTCCACACTTTCCCTCTCAGCTTTGCCACACCATTACTTAGAAATGGTGCTTTCCAATGGGCTCAGATGGGGCAGAGCATGAAGGTAGATGTTTCACAAAAGCCATCATGTTGTACTCCCCAGGCCCACTTTCTCTTCCTCCTCACCTCCAAATGTACTCATGCAAAAAGAAACTAACAGCCTGTCTAGCCCATTGTCTTCTCAGGTGTACACAAATGTGCTTGGTTATAAAGGTAGATGCAATGTGGGCTCAACCAAACACTCCTTCCAATAGAAAAGAATATAACCTAGTGGTTAAAGCATGTTCTTCAGGAACAGACAGAAGGTTCAACCTCCAGGCTTCTTATTTACTAAGATAATATCTCTAAATCTCAGTGTCTTTCTCTGTGAACTGGGAATACTAAGGACACCTTCTGAGCTATTGAGAAAACTGTCAGCAAATTAGTATAAATATATAAAACACTAAGCATAGTTCCTGGCTCATAGTAAGCACTAAAAAGGCAGTAGTTATTAAATGAGGTATTTTTTTTTTACAATATACCATCACCTTGTTTATTGTGCATTTCCACAATGCCCATTAATATATAACAGTTAAAAATACTAAATTTTTCACTAGAATGATATACCTTGATAATGCAGATACTGGCTTATTCATTTTAGAGAAATAATCCACTTTTCTGATCATAAAAATAGGTTTCCAAATGATATTGCTACTTACAGTACATTTTTGCAGAATATTAATGTCATTCCTTTAACCAAGAAAATAGTTGATCAAATCACGTTTTTCATCCTTATATATCTAACATTACACTAAAAAATTGGATTACTTTTTGGGAATAAGAATAGGATTCATTCAAACATTTGCTAGTAATGTATTATTTCATTCATTTATTCTAAAGACACAAATTGAGGCCAACAAAATGCTAAGCAATGAACTAAGTGCCAGACATACGGGGTTTACAGGTGAGGAGATGGCTTTCAAGGTGGGCAGAACAACATAAACACTGGCAGGCTTCATGCATTAGGTATGTTTGGCGTATTATCTTGTGCCTGGAAAGCTGGGCTGGGGACACAGGGCAGAGGGCTGGGGGGTTGAGTAATGAGTAGCCTGGCTTGACTGATGTGGTAGGCTCATCTCTGAGGAGCAGTGGAGAATAACCCTCAGACTTTAGAATTCCTCCCTCCCTACCACTCCTTTGTGGTTCATACTTCAGTCCACTCCATCCCCATTTCTAAACTCACTGGTCCACTGACATGATCACAATCTCCTTATCTACATCTGCATCTCCAGCTCTTCCACACCTACTGAACTACTTCTTTGGAGTTCAAAGGTTGAGTAATTGATGAATTCTTCCCCTTAGCCCTTGCATATGAATCCCCTTCTAATTTGCTCTAGTACATTTGCCCTACTCAGGCTATATTCTGTGATGATTTCACTCTCATCTTGTTTGTCTTGCATTTTCATAATATTCTGGGTCCACTGCCACCACACCCATTCATCTTCTAATTTGAATCACTCCAAAGGCCACAAGGTATTGCTACAGAAAAACAAAAATATACTAGCCCATGCTATAATAAATCTGTGATAGCCTACATCAGGGGGCACTGTTAGTGTGGCCCAACAATCTCTTTGATTTTTTTTTTAATTACCTAAACAAATTCTCTCAGGATTTGTCCCAAACTGCAACAATTCAAGCTTTAAATTGGAAAGACTTTGCTTTAAAATCTATCACTGTAACTTACTAGTTGGGTGAATGTCATCAAATAACTTACTCCTTCATCTGACAAACTTCATCTCTAGACTAGAGTCAATAACATCTGCCTTACATCTGTCACAGATGTGCAAAGGCTCTAAATGAGAGCTGGCAGAAGATCATATTTTTCCCTCCATCCACACAAGCACTGGGTTTCTTCTGTCAGCCTCTCTTTTCTCACCTAAAGACTATGGGTAATAATAGTACATACTTCCCCAGAATACCAAAGGATTAATAAAATAATGCCCGTAAAGCACTTATGCAGAGACTGGCACTTAAGAAGACTCAATAAATGGAAGCTGTTGCTATTGCTGCTTTTGTATTAATAACTTGCATAAAGTAGAAACTGTCAACTACAGATACAGGAGGCAGTTAGCTTTGGGGAACATGACGTAAATTCCAAATATATTCCAAGCAAACAGTGGCTTTATAACTGACAGCTTGAAAGAGATGAAGTTAATTGTGTCTACTAGCAAGAGAATCCTCAAAACATCTACGGCTATTCACTGTACCTCTCCATCCTACCCGTGTGATGTGGAACCATGTGGCCCAACAATAAACCAGACAGATCAATAAAGTTAAAACAAGAATTCCCACATGAGAGAATGCAGGGGGAAAGACCCATCAAATTGGATTATGACATAAAGAGCTTCTGTGTGCGTGATGAAAATATCTGTAAGTGATTTTATATGATCTAAAGCAGAATACTAAGGGCCAGTGATTACATAAATAATGGAGCAGGAAGATAGCATAAAGTATTTAAGATTATTCAAGACAATGAGTAAGCATAAAACTGCCATTTGAAATGAGAGTGTCTAATCCAATTCGCTAAGGAATTGATTAACCGATCTTTTGATTTACTTGAAACACTTGACCAAACTGCTTTCAGAAAGATAAAACCAACTGTCTCAGCTGGAGACTTAAAGGTAAGCTCTGTCTTGAATGAAATAAGAACTCACAATACATTTCATAGCCTATTATTTGGTTTTAGAGATTGTCTTTATTAGGTGGGTATCAAAAGAATGCTTCCTGGATTAGCATAGGAGAGGAAAGACTAATCCATTTAGATCTTTTTCACTGTTAGCATAAAAACTCAAAAACAATTTAATGTTACAGATGATCCTCCTGTACAGGATGCAAAAATCCTTCAAGGAAAATAGAACTTAATTTTATTCAAAGTGTGAAAAGCCCCATCCTAATGATAACCATTTTATATAATCATTGGTTCTAGTTGAACCTTTCAGTTAAAGGGACTTGGAATTTTAAGAACTGAACTATGAGCTCAGGTTAAGCAGTCCACATGGAGCCTTTCGCTTATGAAATGACCACGTTGTTAACCAAGAAGCAAAGAAAAAAGTGCTTAGCTCCCCTCCTGCCACAGACCGTCCCTGCCTTCATGCTCACAGCAGGGCCGGGGGCTCTCCGTATCTGATTCCTGCTGCTTCAGCTCCTAATGGCCTTCCTCAATTCCCATTCTGTCTTTTCACTTTTGGCTGACACAGCAAATGCACACGGAGAGGTTTTGCGGCATAGTGGAAGTCAGAGACTTGAAACAAAGAAGGCTCGTTTATTATTTATGTATTTGTTTATTTATTTGGAATTCCCTCCATTTGATGGTCAAGGATTTCAGTGGCCAGCACCTTGGAAAGGCCCTGGAACAAATCAATTTTCAATAACCTCAGGGATCACAGGGTACTGGATAATAAGCAATAAGTCTTTGTGAAGAACAAATCCTGTCTAAAAGAAGGGTTTGTCCAAAGCACAGCTGAAGACAGGAAGGCCTAACAGAAATATTACACCTTAATGCCAGTACGCCAATACCATTTTGGATTCTGTTCCAATTGAGTCTGTCATCAATATGCTTCAGAAATGTTTCTGGAATCATTTTTTGATTCAGGTCAAAGGTCGTGTCCAAATAAATGAATGCATGAGAGGGGCTTGAAAAATTATCTGGTGAATTGAAACCCTTTGTGAAAATTACGTTATAGAATTCAGGCTACTTGGGGTATTAAGTTTCATGAGGAAATTATAGTTCAATGTGGGCAAAAGTATTCACATTAATAGTTTTTGATATTGAATTCTATGATAAAAAGGATTTTTTTGTGTGTTTTGTTTTGTTTTGTTTTGTTTTTGAGATGGAGTCTTGCTCTGTCACCCAGGCTGGCGTGCAGTGGCTCTATCTCAGCTCACTGCAACCTCCGGCTCCTGGGTTCAAATGATTCTCCTGACTCAGCCTCCTGAGTAGCTGAAACTACAGGTGTGTGCCACCATGCCCAGCTAATTTTTGTATTTTTAGTAGAGACGGGGTTTCACTATGTTGGCCAGGCTGGTCTCAAACTCCTGACCTCAAGTGATCTGCCCACCTCAGCTTCCCAAAATACTGGGATTACAGGTGTGAGCCACCTCTCCCAGCCTGATAAATGGGGTTTTATATACCTTTTTCTAGAGATTTTGTGAAGTATCAGAGGCCATCATATGCTTCTAATTTTTTACAGAATAAAGGCTTGTCTTCTCAGCCTCATACGCAAGGCCATTTATGATCAAGCCCCAGACTATCCTTCAAGATGCATCTTTCCCCTACAACTTCCAGATCCTTTACTGCAGCCACACAGAAGTACTTTCTTTGTATTCACTTATTGATTCATATCCTTGTTCATTCATTCAACATACAGACAGTATCTCATTTGTTTTTCCAAACAATCTTGTAAGGTAGGCCGAGGAATTATCATTCCTCCCAGAGCAGGGACATGAATACCCTGTTAGGGCATTTGAACATAATCCCTGAAGGACACAGAGATTCCACAGAGGACATAAAATTCAAGGGATTTTTGTCATGAAATTGAAATTGTTTATTTTTGGAAGATAACTCTGGAGGCATTAGAGTAGAAGAGTTGACAGTGGACACAAAGGATATTGTAATGATCCAACCAAGGAATTCTGAGTCTAAATGAATCCTGTGGTGATGGGAATGGAGAAGTATGAAATCAATATGAGAGACCTTTAGGAGGTAAAGTAATGGAGGGCTTGACGACATTAAGAAAGGAAGTGAGCGGGAAGAAGCCTCCAGGAGGAGACCTGGTTTTCAGGCTCCAGTGATTAGATAATGGTGGCCCCATTAACTGAAATGGGAAGCGTAGGCATTTTTTGTGAGGGAAGGTAAATATTTTTACATGTTCTGTTTTAGGTACTGTGTGGCATCCAAGTTGAGATGTCATCAGGCTATTTAACATGTGAATCTGGGCTCTTCTGAGTGGAGATATCAAAAATGGATTGACATAAAGTATCTATTTTGTGCTGCCTCCGCCCTGTCCTTTTACTCTCACCTGACTGATCAAAGACTTTAAGTGCCAATTTCTTTTTACCAGCAGCTTAGAAGTATTTGTGAGATAGCGAAATACAGGTGACCATTGCTGACTGAGTCCAGTTGCCTCCCTGGAAGGCAGTTTAGCAAAAAGAGCCTCAGTTGACAGTATGCCCACCCTATGTGGAAGATTTTCTTTTAAGCCACAATGGATTGCAGCTCTGATTAAAAAGTGGAATCTCTTTTTTCTACCCCCTGAAACTGGGCTTGGCCATAGAACTTGCTTTTGCCAATGGGACATTAGAAAATATGACCTAAGCAGAGGATACAAAAGTTTTTGCACATTGGGGCTTGTCCTCTATTACTGCTGGGAAATCTTCTGCCACCATGCAAATAAGCCCAAGCCAGCTTCCTATGAAAAAAGGCAACATAGAGGGAAATCCCAGCCACTCCAGCCATGTCTGTCTTCTCCGCTATCTTGTATGTGCCAAGTGAGGCCCTAGATGCCCTTGATTGTGGCTTCTCAGCCATTCCACTATTGATTATAAAATATTATAGATTGTTCCTTGCTGTGAGAGTGGAGGGCTGTCCTGTGCATTGCAGGATGTGTAGCAGTAGCTCAAGCTTCTATACACTAGACACCATAGCTCTACTCCTTCCCCCATTGTGGCAGCTAAAAATGTCTCTAGACATGCCCAAAGTTCCCCAAGGGGACAAATCACCACCAGTTGAAAACCACTCATCAAGACCATACATACGGTCTTAAAGCTATGTTCAGATATATTTTTATAATAGTTGCAAGTAACACATATTTATTATGTGCTTATTATGTTCAATACACTATGGCATATTTTATGTGGATTATGTTATTAATCCTTACCATAAGCATAAGAGATAAGTATTATTCTTATCTATATTTTACTGATTAGGAAACTGAAGTACAAAAAGGTTAAATATTATGCCTAAGTTTACCTAGCTAGTAAGCAATAAAGCAGATATTTGAATTCAGGCAGTCTGTTTCTAATATAACTCATTTACCTACCATTGAATTCTTATGTCTCATTACATACTAAAATCCAGTTATGAAAGAATATGTATAGGGTAATATCATTTTATTTTTTTAAATGAAGAAAACTATATGTAGGCAAAAAGAAAGCCTGCAAGGATACACGTTAAAATGTAAATAGAGGTTATCACCAATGCGTGTTGGAATTACTTACACTTGCTCTGTATCTCTAAATTAAAGAATAAATGTCTACCTGCCTTGAAGAAGGTGCAGAGTAAATGGAAGAGAGTAACATGTGCATAAAATAGCTGCAAAGCAAGAACAGTAATGAAGTAAGCACTAGCAGAAGTAGAAATGTAACGTGAAAATTAAGTAGAAAATGATTATTTCTGACTAGAAGCATCTGAAAGATGGAGGAAGATTTCAGTAGGTACTGAAGGATAATTAAAACTTTGACAAGTGCACACCAGACAAGAAGGTCTAAGACATGGGAGCAGGAATATGTGGGGCATGCTAGTGGAAAGGCTACAAATCTGATGCAACTTGAGCAAGTAGAAAATAAGGTGAGGAAGAAAGTCTGGGGCTTACTATTGGAGGATATTGAGTGCCAGAATAAAGAGCTTAGATTTCATGATGAGCTGCTGCTCATGTTGAGTAATGGGGCAATAATGATTAGCAAGAGAGAGACAGAGAGAGAGAGAGATAGTGGTAGTGGTAGTAGTAGTAGTAGTAGAAGTAGTAGTAGTAGTAGTAGTAGTAGTAACAAAGAATTGGAAGGGATGGAGAGAAGAGGATATGGGTAAAAACTTATGGGCAAAATAATTACATCCTTAACTGAGATAGCAGTAAAAACAGAAACAACACTGAATGTTGTGAAGAACAGAAAATGGAAGCTCATCAATATCAGCATTTAAGGGACGATAGAGTGAGATACGCTGGAAAAGTAGACTGAAAATAAGAAGTAATAGAGGCAAGATGAAACTATGAAAGGATCATCTTCGGGAAGTCCTGGGAGGAGACAAAGTGAACCTAGAGTGACAGTAGAGTTTGGATGAAACACTCGATTGACAAAGAGAAGGCTAAGGAGACTGGGTAAGAGCCGATGGATGAAAGGAGATGTGCAGAGGCAATGAGATGAAAGGCTAAGAGGTTGTGGTAACACAAGGGTTTCAGAATTTCAGGTTTTGAAACTCTGTGAGTTTCAAAGTGAGAAGAGTTCTAGTTTGTCTAGGATCAATCAATGCTGCTATTAATAGGCATCAAGATGGGCCAATTGTGACTATTATAAATGTTTTGTATCAATTTGGCACTACCAATAGAAAGACCAGCAGAAAGACAAAATCCACTGTGTAATTTCATCATCCCTCCTCCCTCTTCTGGGTGCATGTTCTATCCTACTCCACAATACTCAAACACGTCCTTACAATACTCCCTGTCCCAGATGCTGTCTCTTCACACTTGGCTTTGCCAGGAACAAATAAACAGCAGAAAACCCAGCACCTACTCATTTGGGAAATCTTCCTCACAGATGTCTGGATATCAAAAATAAGACCCAAGCCCTTCTTGGAAAGCTCAAATATACATATAGTTTTCATCACTTTTCTGTCTTTTATATTAATGACTTCATATTTAAAATAAAATCTTTGCCATTACTCCCCTCCACTTCTCATAGTGGACAGAAAATTCTCTCAACACATGTACATCTTTTTGTTTTTTTTCCAAAAAAAGACATTGAGGAAAAATCAAATCAATTTGGAACTCACAGAATCACAGATCTTGGAATTTTCTGGAATCTTTAAGGAAGCTCCTGTTATAGTTGTCCGGTCTAAGTGTAAAAAACTCAGAGAATTGCTTATACTCTTTTTTTTTTTTTTTTTTTTTTTTCTGAGTTGGAGTCTCACTCTGTTGCAGGCTGGAGTGCAGTGGCACGATCTCGGCTCACTGCAACCTCCGCCTCCCAGGTTGAAGCAATTCTCCTGCCTCAGCCTCCCGAGTAGCTGGGACTACAGGCGCACGCCACCACACCTGGCTAATTTTTGCATTTTTAGTAGAGACAGGTTTCACCATGTTGGCCAGGCTGGTCTTGAACTCCTAACCTCAGGTGATCTGCCCACCTCAGCCTCCCAAAGTGCTGGGATTACAGGCATGAGCCACCGCGCATGGCCTATACTTTTTTTTTTTTAAATCAAGGCTCTTATTAAGAAGATCACTTGTTAACATACATACACATATATATGGTTATTTTTTATTTTGTTTTTATACAAAAATAGAATTTTACAATACCCATTACTCCATATGTTGAAAAAGAGTATACCATAGTCATTAAGAATGGCAACTTCGGAGCCAGCCCATCAGAGTTTAAGTCCTAGTTCTACCCCTAAGCATTTGTGAGACCTTGGACAAGTCATTTAACCTATATCTGTCTGCTTCAGTTTTCTCAACTGTATATTGATACTGTGAGAACTTAATGAAGCAATATATGTAAAATACTTGGAATAGTGCCTGGCATATAACATGAAGTATGTACTTTTAAGCCACTATAATTATTTTTCCAGCTGCCAAAGGATAATGAACATTCTTCCAGGTGAATAGACATAAAGTCACATTTGTCAAAGTGGCATAATGTTTCAATTTATTTAATACTCTATAAATTTATTCAATGTCTTCTTGTTAAGCATTTAGATATTTTTCCAGATTTTATCTACTAAATGCTGTATCACTGGATACATCCTTAAATATTCATACCCTTATTTTTCTAGAATATCTTCTATCTTCCCTGAAGTTGGATTACTCAATGAAAACATAATTAATTTTGAAAATATTTGCCAATTAAGTCCCAAAACTGTTATAGTAATTCACACAACTGTCTGCAGTGTTCAAAGTGTGTTTTCCCACACACAGGGGCACACACAAGTGCCAGTGCTCAATGAAAACAAAATTTTAAAATTGTTTACTGATCTGATAGCTGCAAAATGATATCTAGAGCTTTTATTTCTCTAACCACTAGTGAAATTGAACTTCCCTTGATGTGATATTGACTATTTGCCTTTTCTCTTTTATAAGTTTCTTATTTATACACTTTGCTCTTTTTTTATTATCTATTTCTTATCATTTTGTAATGTTCTTGGAGAGTATGTTTATTAACCTATTTTATGCCATATGGCATGCTACCCTTTTCCTGTATTTTAAGGCATCATTGCCTATGGGTACTAGTGGATAGCCACCCTGTAGAAGATGGCTCTGAATGCAGATTTTTCCTGACCTCTGAGGATTTGTGGCTATTGAAGTATGTATATTCAATGCAAATGCATTAGGAGATGTGCATGTTTCCTATTATAAAATCAATGCTTCTGTGACTCTCCCTGAAATGAGACAGTGTCACATTAATCTTTATACTTTACCTAAAGTAAAAGAAGCCTTTTCCTGAAAAGTGATTTTTGGCTTATTGTGATTCATTAGCTCACTCTAAGCCCCATTTCTCCAGGTTAGCCTTACAACCTAAAGTGGTGTATTCTTCTCTGATATCTTGTAGGAATATATAAGAGACTCAGTAAGAAGTTAACACAGTTTCTGAGAGGCCCAAGGGCTCTAGGATCCCTGTGACTTTTAATTAGCTCAGGGAAGGCCTGGTACCTCCTATCTTGAATGTTCACTAGATCAAGGATTTTGCTGTCTTATGTCTATGCCTTTTGTCTTCCCAGTGAAATTATAAACTCGGTTGTCATTTTTCATTTTGCTTTTCAGGAGCCCCAGTGTTTTCTTGGACACAGAACAAGCCTATTTGGCATCTCTCCCTATGAGTAATCATCTATTTATGGACTGGTTTCTCTGACACATTTCTGCTGACATAGTTCTCAAGACACAGAAGAAGAAGAAATGAAATTGGGCCAAATGGTACCTGAGTGTGGCACATGCGATAAAGGAGCAGGTGATTCACTCAGTCAGTCAAGTCAACACATTTTTTTCTAACTCCTTCTATATACTAGGCTGGGGTCCACCTACCGGTATGGCACAATTTGAGGAAAACCGCAAGATACACCTAAGTTAAATCACTTCCTTCAACATTAAAGGTTCAGTTTCTAAAGTTCTTAGCAATACCTTAGCTGTGATCAGTAGCCTGAGCAAAGAAAACATGAGAGTAATCAAAAGGGTAGAAAACAAAATTGAAGGGCTGCTCAAAGACAGGAGGGTATTCAAAACAGACTACTGTTTTGAGCATTATAAATTTTACATGAGCATTTAAATGACATTTGAGCATTATAAATTACACGAGCATTATAAATTCACACTTTTAAAAAGCACAGGTACTGAGCATCAAATACTGAGGAAATCACATGATTCCATCCTCGGGGTGGATTCATGCTGGCTGCAATGAAGCTGAAAAAATGAAAAGAGAGAGAAATTGAAATGATACCATTGTAAGGTTACGATGGAGACTGCTTGGGCTGATGAAGGGAAGGAATGGTGTGTTCCCGACACAAAGCACAGAATATGCACCACAATAAGGCAGAGTAGGTATAGAAGACAAATATCCACAAACTGGCTAAAAGACAATTTGCTTCACACAGCGCTCAGATATACCCTTAACATCTTTTACGCAAGTTCACTTCTCAATGGACAGATGAAGTCATTAAGTAGGTTATTACTTTATAACCAATTCTGATCAACAGTGATGTGAAAGTATGGAAGACATCCTCAAAACTTGAGAGTTCCCAACTGTCAAGGAGGAATAGTGCAAGAACTTCCTAGAAGGAGCAAAAATCCCTTAATCTAGAAATGGTTAAAAGGACTAAATGTATGTATATGAGAGGAGGGGAATCTCAGAGTAAAAATAAGACTCAAAAAACTATAAATCATTCTGCTGGGGAAGAAAAGATGTATTATCTAGGGCAGCATTAAATTCTCATAGGAGTGCGAACCCTATTGTGAACTGCGCATGCAAGGGATCTAGGCTGCGTGTTCATTATGAGAATCTAATGCCTGATGATCTGAGGTGGAACAGTTTCATCCCAAAACCAACCCTCTTCTCCCCCGACCCCCAATCTAGTGAGATCAATGTGACCAAAGAAGGGGGGGTTTCAGTAAGTTCCATTTTAAAGGCCATATACTAACAGTGATACTTAACCAAGATAAATGCGTTAAAATAAAATAATTAAAAGGATTTATGAAATTCATAACAGCAAGAATAAACTAAGGGAATAAGAGTTGAGAAAACACTGAGAGATTAAAGGATGTTTTACTGGGTTTTGTAACACTAAAAGAGGTAGCCCGGGTGCAGTGGTTCACGCCTGTAATCCCAGCACTTTGGGAGGCCGAGGCAGGTGGATCACGAGGTCAGGAGATCGAGACCATCCTGGCTAACATGGTGAAAGTTTTGTCTCTACTAAAAACACACAAAAAAATTAGCTGGGCGTGGTGGCAGACGCAGGTAGTCCCAGCTACTCGGGAGGCTGAGGCAGGAGAATGGCGTGAACCCGGGAGGCAGAGCTTGCAGTGAGCTGAGATCGTGCCACTGCACTCAAGCCTGGGCGACATGGCGAGACTCTGTCTCAAAAAAAAAAAAAAAAAAAAAAGAATAAAAGAGGTAAAGAAAAATTGGAGCAGATGATGGAGAAGGAAAAATGCAACTTGGCAATTTTCCTGTTGCTCTGGGCAGGGGTGGAGGGGAAGTATGAACTGTAAAACAGTCTGGGGGAAGGGGAGGGCGTCATGCATTTAGGAACAGCAAGGCTGTCTAAAATGGCCAGAAGAGTAGACAAAGACAAAAGCAAGGGAAAAGTAGCTCTGGGGAAAAAAAAGGGCAGAAAACTGGGAAAATGTCCAAGGAGAAACTCTCCTGGGTGAAGTCCACACACAGCAATGGATAAAGTGAAGTTTGTGTTTAGTAGGGCCTCAATGCAGTGCACTTACAGACACATAGATGCATTAGAATGTGTATGTTGAATTTTGTGGAGTAAACCAGTGTTGGTTAGTTAATATAAATTTCTGTAATTTTGGAAGAAGCTATGATTTTTTGTTGGTTTTCAACATGTCCATATCTGGAGGATGTTGCTGATATTTTTGTAATCTAAGATCAAGGAAAGGGGAAGATAACTGATATTTATTGAGAATGAACAATGTCCCAGAGATTTACAGACAGCTCAGATGCTCCTTACAACAATCATATGTGGTAGGTATTATGAACCCATTTTTCAAGGAAGAAATTGAAGGTTAGAGAGGTTAAATATCTTTCCCATGTTAAAGCTAGTAAATCAGAACTGGAAATCATCTGGTGGATTCCAGAGCCCAAGCTCTTCCTATTATCCTATACTATGTCCACAAGGCAGTGCAAGGATATTAAAAACTCTTCAAACATCAGGTGTTGTCATCACTCATGGCTTGTACAGCTTTGGGGCTAGCCTCTTATCTGACCCTGTCTTGTTAAAATATGCTTCTTTAGAGTAATCATTTCAGATCTCTAATCCAGTGCATTGTTGGCTCATTCTCTCCCTACCTATTGCCAATTAGGCATCTAGCTTCCAACTCTCAGAAGCTCAGAGTCATTCCATGTATTCATTGCTCTTTTGGTTCACTTACTCATTCACTTCCATTCACTTACTTATTACACTTCCATTCACTCACCCATTCCACAAATATTTAATACATACTTAAATATATTGAATAAATAAAAGAACAGGAATGTGCCTAGTTTCAACTATTGTCTAACTGCCAAGACCTCCATCAGCCTGTTCAGATTCTATCTAGACTATTCATCCAGTTGAATTTTCCTAGTGATTCGGGTCAAAATGGTTTTAGCTGCTCCCACTCCCAGCTCTACAGAGGTCGAGGGCATTGAGACCCTTCTTTTGGCACTGAGTTTGGTGCTTTCAAACCACACAGCTATGTCTGGCAAGACCTTGGTGCTTCTAATCTAGGTAGTCTTGAAATAGCTGATTCCTTTTGGATCAGCTCAGACCCCTGCTCCCTTGACCCTTTCCATTTTCATCTTTTGTAAGCAGCCCCCTTCTACACCCATCTACAGTTTTAAAATCAAGGCTGAGAATCTTCTTAACTCCTCTGGGTAATCTCAGATAGTCCTCAAATTAAGAAGGGAACATAGTAAGCATAACACCTAATACCCTTAAGTAAGTAATTTTGGGCAAATTAGGTAAAGAGATTCCCTGTATGAATGCCACACGTGTACTCAAGTTTACCATAAAACACTTCCTAGACACATCAAAGAGAAACACATCTGATCCTAGGGTGATTTATATCCTCAGCCAGCACATGCATTTCCATCTGATTCATACTATATGCTTTGGTTTTCAATTGAAAAATGAACAGTAAAAATTTGAGTTTCACATTGCTGGAAGAGTTACTTCATCTCCTTTCATTTTCTATAAAATGATGGTGCTAAATTAGAAACAACGTATTAATGAGTACTTGTGCAGAATTTTAAAATTTACCCTCCAATACTTTATCTCAAAACAATTCTCTTTGAGTTACCCTTGTCTTCATTTTACAAATGAAGCAATGAAATCTCAGAGGGGTTAAGAAAATTCTCAGCTGCACAGTGAATAAGCCAGAAGTAAGGCTTACAATCAGAACTTTTGACAGAAATCTCACACTCTTTACAGCACACTCCACCACTTCCAAATGTTTTCTGTGTTCTCTTTCAGGGAGTCGTGTATGAACTGCAAAGTTGTCTAGGGGAGAGTGTGGGGATCAAGCAGTAGGAGTCAGCAGCAAGGGCTGCCCAAAATACGCAAGAGAGCAGACAAATACAAATGCAAAGGAAGAACTGTCTATTCATTTCCTTAGCCTATTTTTTGATGGTATTGTTTGTTTGTTTGTTTGTTTTTCTTGCTAATTTGTTTGCGTTCCTTGTAGATTCTGGATATTAGTCCTTTGACGGATGTATGGATTGTGAAGATTTTCTCCCACTCTGTGGGTTGTCTGTTTACTCTGCTGACTATTCCTTTTGCCATGCAAAAGCTCTTTAGTTTAATTAAGTCTCACCTATTTATCTTTGTTTTTGTTGCATTTGCTTTTGGGTTCTTGGTCATGAAATCTTTGCCTAAGCCAATGTCTAGAAGATGGCCAAAAACATGAAAAAGTACTCAACATGACTAATGATTAGGGAGATGCAAATTAAAACCACAATATGATACCACCTTACTCCCTCAAGAATGGCCATTATCAAAAAATAATAAAGAAAAAAATAGATGTTGGGGTGCATGCGGTGAAAAGGGAACACTTCTACACTGCTGGTGGGAATGTAAACTAGTACAACCACTATGGAAAACAGTGGGGGAGATTCCTTAAAGAACTAAAAGTAGAACTACCATTTGATCCAGCAATCCCACTACTGGGTATCTACCCAGAGGAAAATAAGTCATTATACAAAAAAGATACTTGCACAAACATGTTTATAGCAGCGAAATTCGCAATTGCAAAAATGTAGAAACAGCCGAAATACCCATCAGTCAACGAGTGGATAAAGAAACTGTGACTGATATATTGATGTATGTATGTATATATGTATGTGTATATGTATATACACATACATATGTATATATGTGTATGCATATACATATATACATATGTATATATACACACATACATATGTATATATGTGTATGTATATACGTATATACATATGTATATACATACACATACACATGTATATGTGTGTATATATACACGTGTGTATATACACATATATACATACATATATACACACACACACATATATATATGATGGAATACTACTCAGCCATAAAAAGGAATGAAATAACAGCATTTGCAGCAACCTAGATGGGACTGGAGACTATTATAGTAAGTAAAGTTACTCAGGAATGGAAAAACAAACATCGTATGTTCTCACTCATAAGTGGGAGCTAAACTATGAGGAAGGAAAGGCATAAGAATGATACAATGGACTTTGGGGACTCAGGGGGAAAGGGTGGGAAGGGGGTGAGAGATAAAAGGTTACCAATTGGGTTCTGTGTAACTGCTCCGGTGATGGGCAAACCAAAGTCATCACTAAAGAACTTATTCATGTAACCAAATACCACCTGTTCCCCAAAAACCTATGGAAAAAAATGCAAAGGGAAAGCAGCTCTGGAGAAAAGGGGCAGAAGATTAGGGAAAAGTCAGAGGAGAAATTATCCTGGGTGAATTCCATATGAAGTGACTGATAAGTATGTGTCTTCATCTCCTATAATAATCAAACAATTATTTTTAATTCCCATTTTAAAAATGTTTAAATCATTCTCATTTACAGAATATTACCCTGGGAATTATAATTTCATTAAACTTTCTTTTGGTCAAAAGTATAATCACTTAAGTTATAGGAATTCCTTAAACTCAAATTGAGAAATAATCCAGAATTTTTTTTGAAGAAAAAGAAAAGTTCTCAAGTCTCTTGCTGTGGTTCTAGATGTTCAGTAGCAGGTCTCTTTGAAAGGTGAATCTACCTTGGCAGGTAACCCATCATTATTATCAGGATGGTGTCCAATGTGGCATGAGGGGGAATCTAGCAGAAAGTCTCTTGGCTACAGAAGATCTGGTAGGCCAGGCAAATTCCTAGACAAAAGAAGTGTCCCTAGGGTGATCAGTAAATGCTTTCTGAATGAACAAGAGGAAAAAGAAACCCTCATCTCAGCAACTGTCCCCTTGGATCCACAACAAAGAATCTTGAATTCAAGAAAACACCTGAAGGAACAAAAACTTACAGGTGAGTGGAGAGTTTGTGAGAGAGGGAAAAGATTTCACTCTTGGATGAAGGCTTACCCTTTGATGAAAGAAGCTATGTGGAGTTCTCTCCTCCAAATGCTCTATTGAAAAAGCTACAAATTATCTGATAAATTCTGATTTATCCTCTAGTGACTTTAAACTTGTTGTAATGTCAGGCAATCCATTTACCCAGTGCTGAATGATTAAATTTCTCTTCTCTCTGTTCTTCTTCTATAAATTATATTTTCTCTATATGTGTTTAGCTTTCCACCACCTGCCTCCAGACTTACCTTCCCTGATGACGCTCATAAAAGCTAACATCTTTTAAGAGTCTAGGCCATCATATTCTCTTTTAACATGGTTAAACTTTCCAAGAATTTTACATTTCTTTTCAATTGGTTTAGTACATTCTTCCATGTAGTTGGCATTTAAGTGAGTGAAAACTTCTGTTCAAAGCAAGAGAACCATAAAACATTCAATAATTGCTCTCCAAGGAAATCCACAGAGACGGAGACTCAGACTTATGTTTTTCAGGCAACACTGCCACTCCTTACACAGCTTCCCCAGGAGGGACTCCAGGCACAACTTCAAGTAGTCCAAAGCTTCTTTATGGCCCCAAAGTCCTCCACAGAGCTGCCTCTGGCTGCTGTCCCCTAGACCACACAGACCACAATAAACCACATAAGAACATCTGTCAGCATTTCACCCAGAACCAAACCTAGTAGCCAGAGGTACATTCACACTTAAAGATCCCAAGATAGCTAGATTTCCCATAGAAATTTGTGTTTCCTCAATAACAGTTCATATATAGAAATAAGAAGGTATATGTCCTAAATATTTTTAGTTCACCAAAGGTATTTTCTCACCTTGATTCCTTAATCTGTGTCGCATTTGCTTATTTTGTTGTAGACAAATGAGTCTTTATATTAATATAAAATGGAGTTGTATTTCTATGGGTACCACTTAATTTCATCTTCTTCCATATGAATTGCACCGCTTTACCTGGCCATCTTCCATTAACTAGCTAGAGGGAGGCAGAATTCAGCTCCATCAAGAAGAAAGCTTTAATGTTGGAAGGTCCCACAGTGAAATAGACTCATGGCATAAGTAAGCTCTCTGGCATATGCCCCAACTACCAGAGATCCATGTACTCGAAACCCAGGTTGAGACACCTCTGCCTCATTAAGAGCTGTCCTATGGGACCAAGCCCCTACATTGGGGACCATTTTCCACTATGCGTTCACAGATCTCCCCCATTCTGGGCCTCTGGAGCTAACGTCACATTTTAGATGTTCTCTTGCTCTCCTGCGTTTCAGACCTAGTGATTGCCACCGGTGTCTTAAATCCATTCTCAAGACGATATTTTTTTTTCTTTTGTTCATTTATTAAATACATTTTAATTAAATTTATAGAGTGTGACAGGTACTCTTCTAGGTCTTGGAGGTATAACAATGGACAAAATATACAGAGTCCCTCATCTTATGATGCTTACATAGTAGAAGGAGGCCGGTCACAAATAAACAAGTAAACAGACATATGAATAATAAGGCATTTATCAGTACTAATGCAGAAATGCAAATCAGAGTAAAGAGTTAAAGATTAATGGGCTGAGTGTTTTAGACAGTTATGAGGGAAGGCCTGTCTGATGACACTTGAGCAGATGTGGTGGTGGGAAAGGGAGACATTCAAGTTTTTGCAGAACAGGCATTCCAGACTGAGCTAACAGCAAACGCAAAGACCCTGAGATGAAAGTATGTTTGGGATGTTTGATGAACAACTCTCAGGATCCTGGTCAACCACAGCTCACACCCAATCAGATTCTATCTTGGGTATATCCATTATAGTCACCAAGAAGGGGAAGAAATGGAGCCCTGATGCCAAAAAGGAGAGGCTGGACAGTTTCTTGTGACATAGTATGAAAAAAGAGATTCCAGCACTGAGTAAGTGGCTGGGATTCTTAACATTCACACCTCAGTTCCATGATTCTGTGCAAGCATATATATGTGTCTACATCCAGGTGACCTACCAGTATAACTAAGGCAAATGAGACTTGAAAAAACATATTTAACTAATAGTGATAATAGTGTTATCTTTATGCTTGAGAAAGGTAGACATTATCACCAATTCCCAAGTATTTGCATGAAAATAAAATCATGCAGACAAAGAGGGCTGAAGTTTAATTTTTATAGCAAAGTTTTGATGTATTGATCAAATGCTTTCATTTTCCCACCTCTTGCTATGTTCTGAATTCTACAGTTCATGGATCAGCAATGACTAAAGATGATATTCTGAAAAGTTTTCAAATTATTAGCATATTGAGTCATATTTTCAACTTCTGGTTTAAGTCTCTATTTTTTTTTTTTTTTTTTAGGAGGCAATACGGTTTGGCCGTGTCCCCACAAAAATCCCTTCTTGAATTGTAATTCCCACAATTCCCATGTGTCATGGGAGGAGCCCGGTGGGAGGTGACTAAATTATGGGGTGGATTTTTCCTGTGCTGTTCTCACGATAGTTAATGAGTCTCACGAGATCTGATGGTTTTAAAAAAACAGGAGTTTCCCTGTATAAGCTCTCTTTTCCTGCCACCATCCACGTAAGATGTGACTTGCTCCTCCTTGCCTTCTGCCATGATTGTGAGGCTTCCCCAGCCACGTGGAACTGTGAGTTCTCCATTAAACCTCTTTCCTTTGTAAATTGCCCAGTCTCAGGTATGTCTTTATCGGCAGTGTGAAAATGGACTAATACAGAAGGTAAGAAGAGTGTTATTCAGTATTTTAAAGCTTGACATCTAAATGGTTCTAAGCACTATGTCAAGTGATATAGCCCTTATAGCTGTATATCATGGGTATATCAAAAATAATGAATGATAATGGCAGCTACAGTTTCATTGGTCATGTTGTGGACTCTGTGTTCAGGCAAGTAATTTATTTATCTCATAAAAACATCACTGTGGGAGGGGTACTTTTATTATCTCCATATCACAGATAAAAGATCTGAGACTTCATAAGAGTAAGGAATTGGAATAACATCACAAAGCTAGTGGATGGCAGAGCTCAGCCTAGAACCTAGCTCCATCTGACGCTCTAGTCCAAGCTCTTAACCACCACATGATCCTGCTTTCAGAGCAGGGAAGGATAATTAGAGTATTTAAGAATCAGAGTTCTATTTATGCTACTATCATGGAGAAAAATCATTGGTTAGTACAACAAAGATTTCATGACTTGATTAAAATTAGCAGGTAAAATTCATTTATCTTGGAATTCATTCCTTAAGGTTCAAGATGGCAAGAAGCTAAACTGAAAAATAAATCTCTACCAATATGTTTACAGATGAACACTCTCCCTAGGTAACATGGGCACCACCTGATCTCAATATTACAGCTGATTGTTGTCTAACTTCGAAGTGTTATTCTATTGTGAGAATATCAGGCCATGGAGAAGGAGAAGATAGAGTGCAGTGAGGGGTTATATGGGCAGGGATGGGCGGGAGGATGGGCACGCAATCTCTGCAGCCATTTGTGGGTTAACAGCAGTTACATAAGGCATGAATTTCAATGCGCCAGAAATCCGTTGCTCAAGCTAGTATTTGTGGAGTTCCCTTGTTCCCTCTTCTTGATGTGGGGGTTGATTTGCAGTCAAGTGTAATGAAATCAGCACTGGTTTAACAGGCTGGAAACTGCCTGTTATCCCAGCCTCTTCAATCACCAGTTGTGGAACCCTGGACAAATCACTTAACCTTGATGGACCCTAATTTTCTTATCTAGAAAAATTAGACAATTTAAAAATTAGATTAGCCCTTCAAGCAATTCTGTGAATCAAGGAGAATTTACAGCTTTTGCCATTTATTAAGTCCTCTCGTTATTTTTTTCTCTTGCTAGAATGTGAATGTTTCCAAAGTACATAGTACAGTAGGTAGCTCTTCAAATGAGCTCAGAAAAAATATTTGTTCAATGACTGAATATACATGAGGACTGATGGCCAAAGGACCCTAAGATATATCAACTGAGCTCTATTTTAAGATGGAAAGCAACAGTCATCCTTTTCATATAAGAGTAATATTTACCAAATATTTATTAATGAAAAGAAATTGCTTCTATTTGAAATTATAGCTAAAAGTAAATAGTAAAATAATATGTAAAGTTAATCCTACCTTTATAAAAATAATAAATGTAAATGTTAATGGACCAAAAATGTTGAAGAAATATACACCAAACAACTGATAGTCGTTTTCTGGGAAAGAGGTTAGAGCAGAAATATGAGTGATATTTACTTTCTACACTAAGCACCTCATTATATCTACATTTTGTATTTTATCATAGTACACATATAATTGGCTTAATTCATTTTTAATTGCTAAAATACATTGTTTCAAACTAGCCTGGCCAGGAACTGTCTGTGTCACATATTACATGTCAATCCATGCAAAAAAAAAAAAAAACTAGACCCAAAAGACTGTCTCAAACCTAGAGATATTCCCTTGCTTTTACAGCAGAAAAAAAAAAATACAGACAGATAATGTTTTTTCCAGTTAATACAAGTGTGAATGAAAAGGTCTTTCTATTTTTTAGTTCCTGTGACCCCCAGGAGGGAAGGCTGTGGGCTGATTATTAGAGCATTTGAGTGTGTGGGTTGCCTGGAAGCGATAGCTAGCAAAGGCTGGGAGATGGGAAAATGATAAAGCATGCTTGGCTTACAGAGCTGCTGAGCCGAACAGCAGTGCTCTCACCCAGATATTATTCTTGTTAATTGTATCTGATTCCACTTGATTATGTATTTCATTGAATCTAAATGTTGGTGGGGGAGGTCCATGCTACTCATCAGAAACCTCAATAAAAAGGGCACCCCAGAACCCCTCGACAGAGAGCCATGCAAACACATTACCCTTCATTGTGACAGATTTGCTCCAGTAAATATGATCACTTTTTCTTCACCCTGTGTCTGTAAGCATTTCTAGAACACTTGATGCCATAATACCCAGAGAAAAAGCCCTTTCTAACATAATGGAGGCAATATACAATATGGACTATCATGTCATGTAAAAATTTATAACATTCACACAAGCAGGGGATTTATTTCTTATGTGTATGCAGTTCTTCTCCCTGTTATTGATGAATGGAAAAAGATAAATGTACCGTATAATGAGGAAATAACAGCACGATGTGGAGCTGACTGCTGACTTCCCATCCAGTTAACATGGACAAGCTGCTGAAGCTCTCATCTAAAGCTTCATGGCATCGTGGGTGGCAAGAAGGTTATGGGGTGATCTGAAACTCTACACCTTTGAGAATCAGAAGGATTAAATAAGATAAGCATAGATTTTGGACTTAGATCAGGTTTTCAGTCCAGCGGTAGCTTTGAGAGCTTAGGTAAGCTCTTAATTCAGTTTTCTGAGACTTGGTTTACTCAGCTGTCAAATGGGGATACTGATACCTATTTTCCAGTGTGTTGTAGAGGTTAATAATCCATAGTAGTAGCTCGTATGGTACATAGGAGGCCTACTGAAAATGTCTTTCATCTATTTCTTTTTATCCTTTTCATTCATGCTTCTTTCCTTTCTTCTTCTTCCTCTTCTTTTTTTTTTTTTTTTTTTTGGCAGAAATAGCCAAGCTTTGTCATTCTACCTTCCAAGCTTGGCCATTCTACCTTCTGACCTCAAATCTTCAAAACAGGCCAGCAGTGCCATAAGCCAAGACCAGCCAAGTTTATAAATGGAATAGTTTTCTTCTCTTTTCTATCTTGGGTCTTGGGTCTTCAAAACACTTAAAAATATGGAAGTATAGTAATAACTACATGTAAATTTACAAATTAAGGACTAGTCTAGATGATCTTTACATTTTCCTCTAGCCCTAAGACAAAGAGATAAATAGAGAGATGACAGGCAGATAGAGCTTTTATTCTTATCCTTTTGGCTTTGCTTTTACAATGTGAATATAACGTTTATTGACCAGAAGATTAGCCAGGTCATGAAATGCTTATTAGCAGTTCATACCACAATGATGAATGGTGTTTCAATATTTTCAATCAGGGCCCTTGCCATATACACTGTTCCTGCATTTTTACACCAGTATAGGAAAGCTAGGATGTATCCTTTGTGGAAAGAGCAGGGCTGGGACTAGGGTCAGATGAGTGAGGCACCTGCATTGGGCACAAAATTTAAGACATTCCAAAAAACTCAGTAATCAAGGTAAACAATATTTTAATGCAACATTTAAAAAAATCGTAATGCAACATTCCATGATGAACACACACAGTATCAAAATTTTAAATAAAGTCAGGAACCAATCCTGCGTTTGCTTCTCTCACCCCACCCTCACCCCAGCCCTGGGCAGAATCTGGGTCTGAAATTAGAATATGAGAATTCTGGCCTCCATTCTGATATCACTTAACTACAGTAAGCAAAAGCCTCAGGTAAGTTGCTGCAGTTCCTTAGTTCTCAGTTTCCTTGTGTCATTTCACTTGAAAGTCTGACTAGGTAACTTCTAACGAATCTTTGAACTTGGGACAATCCTATGATTTTCTATAATATGAAGTTGCTTTATTTGAAGTGTCATCAATGACTCAAAAGGAGAAGTTGGTTCAGTAATTGATTCAGTTATTCAATCAAAAACGTTTACTGAACGCTTATATATGCCAAGCACTATGTTAGGCACAAAAAAATACAGAGTTGGGGACTACTGAAACACATAGAAAGAGAAGCCAACCTTAGAGTTAAGAGGTCAGGACAACTTCCCTAGAAAGAGACTCTGACCTAAAAACCCAAAGGAGTTAGGGGAAGACAAGGACGGAATTCCAGAAAGAGGGAACAGCATGGCGAAAGGCCTGAAGGTAAAAAGAAAAATCTCATGGGGGTAACTGTAAGAAGTTTAGTTTGGATGAAACATTAATAGGATGGATGGGGGGTAAAAAGTCTTTGATTATAGCACAGTAATAGAAGTATTTGCCAGAGTATAATGCAAAGACACAGAGTTATGAGTCAAACCCGGGTTGCAGTTCCTGCCCTGCTGCCAAATAGCTAGATGACAGAGTTTCCACATCCACTGGGATTCTATTTTAGAACACATGACAAATTTTTCCATGAAGGGAGGCATTTAATTTCCTACGGAATGTTGTAAATCTCACATTTGAGATATTTACAGTTTATGTCCCTCAGTACCAAAGAGGTGCTGTAATTAATACAAGTAGTCGTTTCCCTAAAACAATCTGCTAAACAGCTAAGTCCCTGTTGTCTGATGCCTATGAGCCTGAAGGTGCAAAGACTAGGCTAAACGCAAGCAAACTTTCATCTTCCCCAGACAGGTGTGAGAAGTGGGCAACTAGGCAAGTGTTATTGGCAGGTACTTCCAGCACATGTCTACTCTACCTAGGCTTATGACAGCCGAGCTGGTCTGCGCCTGCCATATTTGTGTCTGCTGATTTAATTTCTGCACTTAGGAAGACAGGATTCAAGCCAACTATTTATAACCAACCCCCCCGCCCCCAAATTTTTTAATGAATGCAAAAGCACACCATCTCTTGAGTCCTGAGCATAAAGTCAAAGCTTTATGTTTTTAACCTCACTGCTATCACACTTAATACTCTCCATTTATTAGGTACTTACTCTGTCCGACCTTTACAACAAACTCAGTTAATCCTCACAAACCTCTGCAATGGGATCCATCTTAAAAGCAGGAGTAATTGAAAGCACAGAGAAGTAAACTGTGTGCCCAAAGTCGCACAGTTTATAAGTGGCAGAGCCAGAATTAAGAATTCATTTAATTTAGAATTCTGAATCAATTCAGAATTAATTCAGGTTAACAGCCTAACTCTAGAGCCTGTGCTCTTAACCGCTGTGCTACATAAACAAGTCAGGCTCATCAGCCTGCATGCCCAAGTGGTACCATTGAGGTATGGCACTCAGAGGCTCCTTAAGTTTCCAGGACATTCAAGGATCTGAATTCTCTGAGTTTTAGAGGACTCATTTCAGTCATGTAGTTGTGGGGAAGAAGAGCATCTGCTGTATCTGTCCTCAAATATATCTTTGCATGCTCTTGGAGAAAGGCATCCTTTCTCCTCTCTCTCTCCTCTCCTGTTCTCATTTCCCAAACCCTTTGTTCTTAGACACTAGCTGGTTCCATCTGCTCCCTTTTGATAAAAAATGCACTTGAGACTCACTGTACCTTCTCACTGTACCTACAGCCCCATAACTCTTTCCCCTGCTAGACTTCATAAGTGACTGATAGTTACGCATTGCACGTTTTTTTTTTCCTCCCATTCCCCACTGAACTCTCTGAAATGGTTTCTGAGCACACTGCTATACTAAAATTGCTTTCCTAATGGTCACCAGAAAACTCTTTTTCATTGTCCTTTTTCAGTTCCCTACTTTCAACCTTTTCAAACTCCCCTCACTTAAAATCATCCTGGTAATTTATACATTTGATGAAAGGAAATTGCTTGTACAATTATGAAAATGGGCTTTGAGACCTGACTCTGATACTTTGTAACTTGGTAGCTATGGACAAGCTACTGGGACCTCTCTGTTTCAGCTGCTTCAGCTGTAAAGTGGGAATAGGAGTCATAGGTGTTGTCAAGATTAAATAGGATTCCACGTGGAGGCATTTAAACAAGTCCTGGCACAGTTGGGACTGTTTCTGTGAAGTCTGAGCACTCCTCATGGTTCCCTGAGGCTTTTGCTTTCATGCCAGTTCTTTTCCTTCTTGTCTGAGTATTCACTTCCTATGCTCTTTCCTGGGGCTTATTTCTCTCCTTAATCCCTATATTTTGCTAAATGCTGAAATTTAGTCTTTGGCTGTATGGTGTCCTTCTCTTCCCATCTTCTTCCCTAATAAAAATAATACTTGGCATTTACTATGAAATCACTAGATGCTGGGATCTCTACTAATGCTTTCCAAGATGTTCTGGTGTCACCCCAAAATCAATTTCTGCAAAACAGCATTAAGCCTTTTACTTTCCTGAGCTAACCTCCTTCCCCATCCCTCTGTCACCATCAATCCAGCTACCAATGGTCAAACCCGAAGTGCTATCTTGGATTTGCCTTCTGTTGCACTCCCTGTAGTCAATTTGAAAACAAACTCTGACTATGTTTTTTCCCCATTCTGGCATCTCTTAATGGCATTTTCAGATTGAAATTCAACATGTTTGGGCTTGGTTCAGTAAGGGACCTAGTTCCTGGGTCTGCAGTGTTGATGGCTGGAACACAGATGATCTGGCCCTCATTCCAGGATGCCAAGATGCAATGAGCTCTTTAAGTGAGATCCTTATGAACTCTCTGGTGCAGATTATTTTTAAAGTTTTCACAATGTATATTAAATCCGGAAATTCTGACAAGAAAGGGGGAAAAGGGAATTTATACACACTGCCATACTACTATGTATCAGCAACTGTGCTAAATGCTGTTGCTTCCAAGATGCAGTGATGAGCTCATTTTTTAAACATAAAAAAGAGTCATGATGCTATTTCTTAGTGGCACTTCAGGGTACAGTTCTTCTTCATAGGGGCAGCTGAGAAAATATGTTTTTTGTTTTGATTTGTGGCCTCCTTGGCACATTTTAACACTGACCTCCAAGTCAGTTGATCACGTTGGAGAAATGGAAGTCATGATTTATCTTCTACTATTCTAATGCAGGAATCATCACCTCATGGCTGGATTTCTCATTCATTTATTTAATGATTCATTCAACAAATATTTATTGGGTCCCTACTCCATACCAGGCCTGTGCTAAATGCTGGTGATGCCACTGTGAATGCCTTACTCTCACAATGCAAAAAAGGCAGCTACACAAGTGAATGCCAGGAAAGAAGAGGGTGATATAGGAGCACACAGAAGAAGGAAGGCCCTTCTTATATTAGCAGGCTTTATTTCACTTGTCTTTCAGATACATCTCCTCTTGTCCACCCCTACTGCCACCACCCTCATCATTTAACACCTACATTTCCACAATAAGTTCCCTGCCTCCAGTCTCAACACCTCCAAGTCATCCTCCACACTGTAGTCACAGTCATCATTCTCTAATGCAAATCTGATCATGTCTCAAACTTTCTCAACTTTCAAACAAACACCCCTAGCCTTCCCCATAAAATTGAAGTTCTTATGCTTGGATAGTTCCATTCACACTTGATTGCTGCTTATGTCTCTTGCTTGATGTTGTGCCACTGCAAAAAGCTAAGAACCCATATCTGTCGCTACAGCCACACAGAACTACTTCCAGGCCTTTCAGAGATATTTCTGCCTGGAAAGCCCTTCTTTCCTCCTTGTCCTTGTTCAAGACTCAGCTAATGTCAAGCTCTCTGAGAAACCTTCTTGATCTTCTTACTCTCCTTGAGTTGGATGCCCTCCCTTTGTGCTTCCATGGCATTCTGAGCATATCTCTAAAAAACTCACTCTATAGCATTACTTGTTAACTGGTGTCACCCAGATGCTGTTCACCCTCAATGGCTCTAACCACATGAGATGGCTTATTGCCACCCTAATTTATCAGACACTCTCAAGTATTTCCTCTGCCTGGAATGTCCTTTCTATCCTTTCCTCCCTGGTAAAAGACTATTCATTTTTCTCAAAGATCACCTGCTCAAATCCTCCAGGGAAAGGAAAAAATCACTTTCATGCCTGTACTATTGGCACATGGTTTAACCTACAATTACAGCAGTTAATCAGATTGCATCATAGTTAAATACCTGTTACCTTGATGATTGGGACCATTTTTTACTTTCTTATCTTTTTTTCCCCAGCCTCCAGCATGTAACAAGTACTTATACATGTTTTCTGAATGGTGAGAAAATCCAGGAGGAGGGGATGAAGTGTACAGCATACACGTTAAGAGCTCATAGTACAATACAGAACCATCCTGCTTTCTATTTCATGTGTGTTCATCTTGTATTTACAACTAGAACATAAACACTTTGAGGGACAGAACTATGTTACATATTTTATATGACTTCCAATGCTAAATACAGGATAGGTGGTCAATAAATCCTTGTAAATAGAATCTAGTATAATCAAAATAAACTGATCTTGCAGATGAAGGAAGAGGAAATATATAGTAACAAAGCAAATAAAGAGCTCTAGTGAAAGCAAAAAATATTCTTGATCTTTTCTTGCCAAGGTTTTCAAAGAAAATGATGAGAGTGTTCACCATGGGATAAAAAGGACATATGCTGACAATTATAGTTAAATCCCCTCTATGCCAATTTCACTTGAAAATATTCCTGGAAAGGTCTTTACTTCCCTAGTTATTTGAAAATAAAACACTCAGATTTCTATCTTACTGAATACCTTTAAAATCATAAAAGCGAAACTATTTTAATAATAAGCATCCCTTTCCCAATTCCCCCCCACCCCCTGCTTCTTTTTTTCCTTTCTTAAAAAAGCTTTTCACCTTTGGCTATGCTTACTTATGAGTGAAGATCACTTTCATAAGTCATTTCTCAATTAATCTCACAAATATCATGCTTTCTCCCACTTCAAAGAAGTCACAAAATGTTAAAGATAAAAAGGTCCCCATCCCAAGCAGCAGAGAGACTCCCCAACCTGTCATCTCAAAGTGAAGAGAAGCCCTCACCCCCACCCGTGAGGAGCAGCAGGCATAAGTACTGGATCTGAGCTTCCGGAGTTTACTTCTTTCAGCATCAGCTTGGCTTCCAGATTCCCCATACACTTTTCCTAAAAATACAAGGCTCCTGACGTGCACAAGAGCCAAAAATGTACCTGTCTGCCCAACCCGCCTTTCAGGTACAACCAACACGTCAAGATGGAGAAACTTTCACACGAGGCACTTTCTAGACCTAAACAACTAATTTGTAAGTATGCTAAATGTTATCCCAGAAATAGTGAAGTCTTTTACGCTCCAGATGTGACATTCTAGACACCTCAAAACTAGCGTCCCACCAGAAGAATAGGAGCTGCCAACCATACAAGCAGAAGGGGCATAGAAATTCAGTGAAGGCTGTAGTGTACGTCCCCTCCAGTCAACCTCTTCCTGCCTTCATTAACCTCTAGTCACACCTCTCCTAAGTGACCATTATTTGTCCCTCTTCTATCTCCCTTTGTCCCAGTCCTGGACTCCTCACAGGCTGACCCAGTCTCTGCTGTTTCAAAAGGCCATTCGATTTGACGCTTTTCCCGGGTGCAGCGGGTGCACTGCACTCTGAGATCCCGCCCCAGTAGTAGAAAGGATTTTAGGAAATCCTTTTCTCAGGACCTTTTCCGTCGGGCCGAAGAGATATTCAGAACCGTGCCTGTCCACCAACTAGATAGCAGACACCACAGAATCTCTCCCAGGAAAGAGGTTGAAAGGAAAAAAACCCGACATCCCCACAAAGAAAAATAATAATCCAGAATCCTCCACATATTCCACACGTGCGTGTCATAAAACCCTTGGGAAATGGGTTGGGAGAGGATAAAGCCCCGTCTTCCCACTGCCGCCGCCGCAGCAGCAGCCCCTGTTCAGCTCCCAGCGCTGCCGCGATGGTGTGCGTGAAGACAGCACCTTCCCTGAGGAGGAGAGATCCTAGCGTCCTCCGTTCTAGGAGGTGATTATGGCAAGCCTGTCAGTAACTCATCATTTATCCCCGCACTGACCCGAGCCTCACCCCGGCGCCTTTGGCACCGGAGCTCGATGAGAAAGCCGAAGGCCGCCCCTCCAATTTTCCAGGTGACACACACACCCCACTATGCGCCTAGGACGCAGAGGGGTGGAAGGGAAGGATGACAGGTGCCCATGCCTGAGGGAAAATCAATGGCAACCCTTACAGCTTGGGGTGAGAAATCTCAACCCCCGCCCGGGTGGGAGGACTTGGCATCAGCTACCTGCAGGGCGCCTCCGCCTGCACACCCACCCAACGCGTGCAGGCTCGCGTTGCAGCCCGGAATGCAGTCAGGAGGGTGGAACGGGACGGAGGGAGCCTCCACGCCCCCTTTGTCTCCACGTTTCCCAGATGACATGGAAGGAAAGTTTATGAGCAGGGAGGTGGTAGCTTTCTGCTGGGTCAATCTGACACCTCGCAGGAGGCGACCCTCCCTGGGTTCGTCCTCTCCTCTGCACAGCCCCAGCGCCGCCTTCATCTGCACCTCGACACCCACAAGCAAGGCATGGGACACCTGCGCCGCCGGGTCCGGCCAGGAGCTTGCCCCGCGCTGCCCTACTGCCCCGGTGCAGAGACTTCCCCAGCGGCCCGGCTGCGGGCGCCGCACTCACCTCCCGCAGCGGAGCGTCCTCCAGTGCGCCCTACTGGGCCGTCCGGCTCCCGGGAGCGAGGTACATTCAGGCGGCGGTCCGAGACACGCTCTCCAGGCGCTGCTGCATTCCGCTTGCGTGGGAGAGCAAGCCGGCGAGCGAGCGGCGCGGGCGTGTACGAGTGTGTGTTTGTGCGAGTGTGTGCGCGAGTGTGTGTATGTGTGTGTCCGTGTTTGTGCGCGCGCCCGTGGGGCGGAGGTGCGCGGGATCACAGATGCCGCTGGGCGCCCATCCCGCGCTCTGCTTCCTCCGCTGCCTCCTCCTGGCGCTGCAGCTTGCACAGGGTCCAGGTTTCAGGATCTCCTGTTTGTTTAATGAAAGGAAAGAGCAAAAGGCTGGCGCGGAGGGGGCGGAGGAGGGGAGAGGCGGGGAGGGTGCCGGGCTGCGCATGCTCAAGAGAGACTCAGCTCTGGCTCCAGAGCCCAGACAGAGCAGAGAGAGTGAGCTCGGGGTAGAGGCAAGCCAGCCAGATTGCGTCCAGCGGCAGTCGCTCCGCGGGGTTCCCAGAAGGCAGCGGGGAAACCCCGCCGCAAAGGTGCGCCCTGCGCGGGGACTCCGCGGCGCATGCAGAGCTGGAAGCCAGTGGTGGGATCCCCACCCATCCTTGGAGACCGCTTCTGCCTCGAGTCCTCGGTAACGTGGGGCTGTCCTCTCCCGGTGTGGTTTTAGCGCTGGCGCGGGCGTTCCTGTGGGCCATTCTCTTGCTTTCTACCCTGCGGGCAACCGAGATGCGTCTCCCCAGAGGTCCAGGAGGAACCACAGGCTGCAGGTCGCCCCGAACTAAAATGAGTTTCCTGGTGTGTGCTTCTTTCTTCCCCTCCCAACTTCCACTCCTTTAAGAGCAAGAAAAGGCAACGTCCAGTCGGGTCCCACAACAGCTTTAATGGGGCGAGGGCGAGAAGGGGGCTAGCGATAACTCTTCCAAACAACAAAGGAGGAGTGGAAGGAAGGTGAGTCTCTGAGGACCCCATACTAAGCCTCCTTTGATGATAGGGGTAAATGGAAGAGATATTTGCCCTATTTAAGAAGGCAAAAAAAAAAAAAAAAAAGAACAATGGGTTCATTGTCCCCTTGCCTAGAATGCCAACGCAATTCTAGGTCTTTGTGAGGCCTCTGGCTATTTGGTAAAGTGGGAGAACTGTCAACTCGAAGAGAGTCCAGTAAGAGAACCTGAGCCTGCTATGGCACAGTAACCTGAGGCCAGGGGAGATGGCAGGTGAGAGTCGTTGCAAGTAGAGTGGAAACTTCTTGGATCAGATTGTTCTGTGAGCAAAACAGAATGGTTAGGATCCATTCAAGAGCTTCTATTTTCAATCTCTTCCCTGTTTAATCGTTCTGTCTCCCCACACACCACACCCCATTTTCTTTCCTACAGAAGAAAAGACATCCCAAGCAGGAAACTCCCTGTAAAGAGATTTCTACCTCCTTTTTATTCATTTTCTGTCCCTCCAGAAAAGGATAACCTTTGGTCCCCTCTGCTTTGGAGGAATAGAGGACAGCCTGCCTTGTGCAAATCTTTTCCAAGCTTTCATTAAAGATCACCTCTAAGCATTTCCACTTTACAGTGGAAGCGAGCAGATGCCTTCTTGCTGAACTCTGACCCACATACCATTCATCTTCCCAATAATAATGCCAAGTGACACTCGAACAGCAGGACAATTAGATCAAATCCTAGAGCACACCCAGAGGAGAAAAAAACAGCATGTCTAAATACCACCAACAAAAGTTTAGGAGAACAGACTTAGAGGAAGGAGAGAAAAAAAGGAAAGTTCTTAAAAAGAGAAAGTGCCCTGGGTGTAGTGGCAGGTTTATTTTCTCAGTAGATCCTTGAAAGAAGTAGAATTGCAGCATCTCTTTGCTTAAAGGACAAGTGAGAGTAAGTCTCCATCCACCAGGTAGGGGAGATCAGGTTCTCCTGAAGAGCAGCAAAGCCTCTATAGTGAACCATGTAGGGTATTTGGAGCTCCTCCTTCCATGCCTGTTTATATCAGGACTTCCCTTTGGTGCTCGGCTTCTTGGAAGGCATCCAAGATAGATCTGCCTTGTTGTCACGTTCCCCTCAGAACAGTAAACAGTGTTCACTAGAATTGCAAGGTGTTAGTATTGGTAGGGCCAATTGCTTCCTTGAGGCAAGATAGCCATTCTCTTTGCCCTGGTGCGTAAGCACAAGGTGAGTGACGGCTTTGAATTCATGAACTAAGAGGGGCTGGGGTTTACAGTTCACTCAATAGGAGACAATTCTAAGGCACTTCCTCCTACAATGATAAGTATCCAGGGTTGCCTGGCCAAGAAGCCCACTCTATCTGAGCCTGGCCTTGGGTGAGAGGGAAAGGGATACCACTCCCCTCAATGCTTAGGGACCATCTCTAAGCAGATGGACCTGTTCGCCATCTCAAAGCAGAAAGTAGCTCCAACAAGGTGAAGGGTGAAGGAGAATTTTTAAATGCAGAATTGCAAATAAAGTGAAATCTCTTTATGGTGTGTCTGCTAGGAGATGGTGAATGAGCAGTTCTGGAAGAGATTTTTACTGTTTGGGGACAGTAGGGAAAACACAGGGACATTAAGTGAGATGATGTACATAAAGCACTTAACATAGTGCCTACTGCCTAACAAGCTCTGCATAACCTGTAGCTCTTATTTTGGTTATTAATATTTTCATTATTGTGATAGTTTATTTTTTTAAAAAGGCTAAGAAGCTCTTTTTTCCTTAGCTTAAACAAGCAAAGCAGATTAAAGCCAAAAGCCTTCCAGTTTTTCCTTCTGGCTTCCTCCATCGCCCCCTCACTCATCACCCTGATCACTGATGTATTCAAATCCATGTAATGAAAAGCATGCTACAAAGATGTGTGGCAGTGTGAATGGGGAATAGCTCCAACTCTCACCCTTCCACCCACAAATCTAGACGTAAGTGTGAGATAGCTTTGTCTTTCAGTAACATGCCTCAAGCACTTTTTGCCACTCATGTCTCACAGTGATTAAGGACTCCTGCCTGGCAGGGTCTCTTGCTATAACACCCCACCTACATTGGAATACCAAGCTTTGTATTTTCACTTTTTTTTTTTTTTGCCTGCCTTCTAATTTTAGCTATCATATGTGTTACTCCTCCTAGGTAACAAAATGCCCAAAGCCAATTAATATGCACACATCTGCAGATGGTTTGAGATAAATTAATGGTAAGAATTTCAGTGGCTGCCAGTATTTTTAATGCTCCTTTATCACAGATTTCAGACTTAATACTCATCTGCTCTACTTAAAGAATAATCCCTAAACTTTGTACTTCCTTCTACCAACCAAGCAACATACCTAATGGCCTTATTTCCTATATCAGCAAAATAACCCAGCATTGTTGCCTGGATATATATGAAATTATATATTTTTTAATATTATATATATTAAATTATATATTTTATTATATTTTTATTACATATTTTATATATGAAATTTTATATTTTTAAAGAAAACTAGCTATTAAATTTTAAATAGAAGTAGCTATTCAAAACATAATATCCAAAAAAATTCTATAATTAATAAAAACAAGTAATAGATGAAAGGACTGAACATTAAATTCTCCCAAGTTATGGAAGCTATTGAGGTGTCTGGATTCTTAGAAAACTGTATTTTCTTATAGTTTTCTTTATGTTTACATATAGTTTTCTAAGAAAACTATATGAAAATTGCATTAGGTTATATATAGGTGAAGTAACATAACTCTGTCATGATATAGCATGTGCAAAGATTCTGCTCTGAATATTTTCTAAGAAATAGGAAATACACCATTTCCATTTGAATTGTATCCTACCTATAATTTTGGTTCTTTTCAAAAATCACTCTAATAAGACAAATAAATATATAATGTTTTCTTCCTGTAGAAATTTCTTATATATAGCAATCTTTTCTGGTTCAATAAAAATGTCAGGCCATTAGTATAAAGGCTAAACTAGTGGTTTCTTATTCCAAGAATCAAAGTGTTTCTGGAACTATCAAAAACTATTACAAGACTATCCCTATAGCCCTTTGCATATATTCTTACTGTAACTCTTAACATCAAGTTCTTTTTTTATATCTGACTTGTCCCCCCTAGGTTGGATGTAAGTCATTCAAGAGCAGAGTTTATTTCTTTTTTATGCACCTAGCGCCTTGTGAAAATAAGAAAGATGTATCTGTTCAGTAAATGTTTAAGGAGTAAATGAATAAATACATTGCCAAAAGTGAATTTATGTTGGTAACACGTTGACTTTGAAATAGACTACCAAGTACCATGATACTTGGCATTCCTTATAGATGATGAAGTCAGTAGACACTGTTTTGTGTGTGATTATCTATAAATGGGAGTTGAGATGAGAAAAGCAAATCAGGCTTCTGTAGATAGTTTTTATCCCCATGGAAACATATATATTAAGCACATTCTAATTTTTCTGGTTTAGAAAGCGAATTAGTTTTGGCTCAGAGTGTACTATTATTCAAAGGATAGATTCATGCTGGCCAAACTAATCCACCAGAATAATGTTCTAATGTATTAAACTTTGCCCCTAAGTAGGACAAAATATTTGGGTAAATCATGGTTAGAACTCTTTTTTGTCATCAAGAAAATCCAAAAAGCAAAAAGGACCACCCCCAGAACTTTACCCCCAGCATTTCTACTATAGCTGTCTTGAATGAAAGGGTCTAGTAAGAAGCTGGTTCTGTTTTCATGTAAGGGTCTAGTAAGAAGTTGGTTCTGTCTTCATGGATGGGAATTTGGGTGATGAGGAGTTTGTGGGGTGGAGGAAGGCTTAACTATGAACAGTCTCATCTCTGATCAAAACTACTCTGAGACAGGGAAAGTAGGATGAGAGGACCAGGGGATCGGCATCCTGTTTATCTTTTATCTTTCATTAATTCATGCACCTAATAAAGGAGTTTATTAAGAATGATCATCAGAGAAAGAGAGATCCCAAAATAGAAGCTGCAGTCTTTTATAGCCTAATCTCAGAAGTAACAGGCCATCACTTCTGCCACATTTTTTCAATCATACAGACCAACTCTGGTACTCTCCTCAGATTATCTTAATTTTATCTTAATTTTAGGGTGATTTATGTTTCTTGCTGGGACCCTGACTGATACAGATCTCAAGAATCTCTTTGTTATTTATGGACTCATCTCACCCACCTTGGACCTAATGCTTGTTGCTATTTCATATGCTCTGATTTCTAGGTTTCTTCATATACCGTGGTTTATAACCTGGGTTAATGCCTCATATGGCCCAGCCCCCAGGATCTATGCACATGTGTTGCTCCAGCAACACTAGGAGCTCCACTCCCACCTAGTTTTCCATGTCTGCCCAAGTAGGACCCAGATACCTATCACTGATTCCACCACTGTTTGATTCCACCTCGTGGTGCCATCCCAGTTATCCCTCTCAGAAGCCTCATTGGGAAATGTGAGAATTGTGATTCAACCTCTCTTGGACTTTACATTTTGTAGATATTCTACTGCTAGATTTTCCCTTCTGTGGACTCTGCCCTAATCCAGGAGAGATAGGTTTGCAAAAGCCCATCTATCTCTTTTTCTCAGTCTGTTCCATGCTGCCAACATGGAACCATTCACTCCCAGTGGTTGATAAATCATATGTCTTTATTTTTATTATCTTTAAAATGAGAGAAGTGAACTAAATTACTCAATCATCCTTTTTTTTTTTTTTTTTTTTTTTTTTTTTTTTTTGAAACAGAGTCTTGCTCTGTCACTCAGACTGGAGTACAGTGGAAGGATCTCAGCTCACTGCAACCTCCCCTTCCTAGGTTCAATTCTTGTGCCTCAGCCTCCTGAGAAGCTTGGATTACAGGCATGCGTGACCACACCAGGCTAATTTTTGTATTTTTAGTAGAGACAGGGATTCGCCACGTTGGCCAGGCTAGTCTTGAACTCGTGGCCTCAAGCTATCCACCCGCTTCAGCCTCCCAAAATACTGAGATTGCAGGGGTGAGCCACCACACCCAGCCCTCAATCCTCACTTTTTAATAGTCTAGTCCAGGGGTCAATAAACTTATTCTGCAAAGCACCAGATTGTATATATTTTAGGCTTTGTGGGCCATATGGCCTCTGTCACAACTACTCTGCTCTACAGGCATGGACAATGAATAAAAGAATGAGAATGGCTGTGTTCCAATGTATTAAAAAAAAACAACAACAACAGGTGGTGGACTGGATTTGGCCAACAAGCTATAGATTGCCAACCCTGAGTCTAATTCTTCATTTTCCACACTTCACCTCTGGCATCAGTAATGTATTCAGTAGAAGGAACTTCAATCTTTCTTTCTGTCCTGCCTGTAGGAAAATAATAAGAACCATGAAATCTGTGCAGGAAATCTTAGTCTGTTGTCAGTTTAGGGGCTCTTCATCAGCGAGTGTGGCTTTCACACTATCTTAAGAATGTATTCGGAAAATTATTTTTTTCCTTTTTGTAAGGCAATTGGCTGTGTTTTCCACATGGAATAGTGGAAGCAAGGGCAACTATACTATTTTTAACCTAAAACCAACTTTTGTAGCCCTAAAAGTTCAGTGAGAGGAATATTGTAAAGGAAAATAAAAACAATAGTGTGAGCATGATACTCCTATTAAAATGGGGCAGGTAAATATATTCTAATTATAACTAGCACCTTAGGAAAACTGCCTCTAAAGATAAACTCAACCTCAATAAAACAAATATATTCTTATACAGGCCCCAGTATAGGAGCAACACTTCTGAGTTGAATTCACACAAGTTGAGCTGCTGTCTGAGCATTTTTCCACATTCAGTCCAAGTTATGAAATTCAGCTTATCTAAAAATTTCACTCAAATTTCACTCTGAGTTACAAATTCAATGCAATCCCTATCAAAATTCCAACATCTTTTTTGCAGAAATAGAAAAATCCATTTTAAAATTCATATGAAATCTCAAGGTTATTTGAGGGAACCCAAATAACCGAGACAATTAGAAAAAGAGACAATTTAGAAAAAAAAAAATTGGAGGTCCCAAACTCCCTGATTTCAAAACTTACTACAAAGCTAAACAAAATAGGGTAGTAGTGGCCTAAAGACAGACATGTAGACTATTGGAATAGAGGACCCAGAAATAAACCCTCACATATATGGTCAAAATTACTTTTGACAAAGTTGCCAAGACCATTCAACGGGGGAAAAGACAGTTTTTTCAACAAATATTGTGGCCAACAGGCACAATAATGAAGTTAGACACTCACACCATATACACAGATCAACTCAAAATGGATCAAAAACCTAAACACAAGCAAAAACTACAAAACTCTTAGAAGAAAACTGAGTGGAAAAGCTTCATGATATTGGATTTGGCAATGATTTCTTAGATATGACACCAAAAGCACAGGCAACAAAAGAAGAGACAGATAAATTAGACTACATCAAAACTAAAACCTTCAAGGGACACTATCAACAGAGTAAAAAGGCAACCCATGGAATGGGAGGAAATACTTGCAAACCATATATCTCATATGTCTGATAAGGTATTAATATCCAGACTGTATAAAGAACTGCAACTCAACAACAGGAAAAAAACCAACCCAATTAAAAAATGGGCAAAGGAGTTGAATAGACATTTTTCCAAAGAAGATATATGAATGGCCAATTTTTCACCATAAAAAAATGTTCAAAATCACTAAGCAAATCAAAACCACAATGAAATACCACTTCACTCCCATTAGGATAGCTTTTATTTAAAAAAACAAAACAAAACAAAACAAAAAAACAGGAAATAAGTGTTGACAAGGATTTGTAGAAACTGGGACCCTTGGTCCAATGGTGGGAATATAAAATGGTGCAGTCACTATGATCATTTTTCAAAGAATTAAACATAGAATTACCATAAGTTCCAGCAATTCCATTTTTGGGTATATACCCCTAAAAATGAAAACAGGGACTTGGATTCACAATAGCCAAAATGTAAAAGAAATCCAAGTGTCCATTGACAGATGAATGGATAAATAAAATGTAGCATATACATATACATACAATGGAATATTATTCAGCCTTTAAACGGAAGGAGAATCTGATGCATGCTATAAACCTTGAATACTATGAGAATTAAGCCAGTCACAAAAGTACAAATACTGTATGATTCTACCTATGTAAGGTACCTAGAATAATCAAATTCATATAAACAGAAAGTAGAATGGTGGTTACCAGAGGCTGCAGGTAGCAGGGAGTAGGGAGTTATTACTTATGGGTAGAGTTTCAGTTTTGGAAGATGAAAAATGTTCTTAAGATGGATGATGGTGATGGCTGCACTTAAAAATGGTTAAAATGGTAAATTTTATGTTGCATGTATTTCACCACAATTTTTAAAATTAGAAAAATAAATGTAGTTCACTCCTTCAATTGCTCCCTCCCAGCAAGCTTTCCCTCTCAAAAAGAATTATATTGATGATACCCATAATCTAGTAAAAACAGGATATTAGGCTGACATTGGGTTGAATTCCAGCTCTGTCAGGGAATGTTTTAGCTACATGCCCATAGGCAAGATACTCTAAGCCTGTTTTCTCATATATAAAATATGGAAAGTAATTTATCTTACTAAATCATGAGAAATAAGATAACACAAAAGATGTCTGACAAGAAATTGACACTTAGTAAACAGAAGCTATCATCAGCAACAACATTCATGTTTCCCACCCAACAAAACAACATTTAAGTTCCCATCTTAAAAACTTGAGGTCATCTTTGGCCTCTTATTATAACCAGTTATCATATTTTGTCACTCTGACAGGACAATTCTTTTTTCAAAATGTTTCATGATTTTTTTTCTTTCTTTTCTCAAGGCTAACATCCCAAGTATCATCCCAAGCTGGGGTGATAAGGATCTACAAATGGATTTTGGTACCTATATATATATATTTTTTAACTTTCCTATAGGAATTAGACTATGATAGTCATTCATTCATTCTTCTTTTATTTAACAAATAGGTATTGTTTGTGCCAACATAATCAATGAAATTGAGGTCAGGACCTCCAGACAGTGCTCTGAACAAATCATGCCTAATATTGTGACTTTGTATATTTATGTTATTTTCAATTTACAAATGTATTTGTTAAAATAACAATTTCATGAAAAGTATAAAGGAAAAGCCTCCGGGACTTAGCTAGAAACAATCTTAAGGTGTTGCTGGAATAATATACTATAGTCACATGAATATTTTATGTTAACCACCTAACTTTGATATAGATATGAGTTATGATTTTAAGTCATTTAACTGAAATGTTTTAAGACCATGGATCCTAGCCCTTGGATAATTCCACAGCACTTTTAATGGTAAATGATACATTAACTTAGCAAAGTGTCTAAACCACTCTCCTAACTAGGAAAACTGTCTCAGGAAAATTACTCAACAATATACCAAACTATACAAATCTCTTCATAAAATACCAATCATAATTAATCATCATTAATTACCAATTATACTATCATCATCAACAGATAACCTTCATCGGAATTAATCACCTTTAGTACACATAACTTGGTAAGCCAAAGATTCAATAAAGTGAAGTGTCTGTTGTTTTGGTTTGTAATTTTCCCCTTTTGGCCAGTAATGCTATCCATATTTCCTCATTTCCTCTAAGAAAGCACCATTCTCCAACAACTAATCCATTTGTTTTGAGTGGGATTGAAAAACCCCTCCCCGCTGCAAGCATGTGCATAGAATTCCAGCCTAGTTAACCAGAGTTTCCCATTGCTCTAGTCATTTTCCAAAACAGGAAAATTAGATTAAAATTCAGAACTTTTGTTCCAATGGGAAAAAAAAGCCTCTTTTATACTAGGATGCTAAGCAGTTAAAATGCTGTAAGGCTGGGAATGACAGAAGAGAAACTTTAACACAATTTTGAATCCCTAATCCTACTATGCCCTAAAATATCAGTGGACTTTTCAGTTACTTGAACAGTTAATTCGTTTTTTGCTTAAGGCATTTTGAATTAGATTTTCTTTCTCTGGCCCCATTGAAAATGTCTTTATCGACACATTCATTTGGGCATCTCTGTAAGAATAAAAATGGTAAACAAAAGGGAAAGCAGGCAAAGGACGAGGACAGTGTGTAAAGGATCCCTATGGCCACACTGTGACTGGTTTCTAGCCCAGGACATTTTAGCAGTCTTTCACTTATAAGCATATATCTTATGTGTCCTCTTCTCCTTTCCTGAATTGCCAGAATCGATGGCTGGCACTTTTCAAGGCTGACACCCACCATTAGACAGATGGAGCTGAGTGGGGCAAGGCAGAGGCCAGGGAGACCCTGCCAACTCATTTGGCCTCAGGCCCAGCCCAACTCTATAACCACTGCTGCTGTCAATATCCAGCTAAGGCTGGTCTGAGTTCTCTTTACTGTCAGCTTTTCTAGGCTCCTGAAGTTGACAGTGGCATTGCTCCTCCCAGGCCTGGTGGATACATGTGCCAAATCACAGCTTTGCATGGTTGGTAAGGTATCCCATGGCACTCAGGCAGACTGAAGCTGCCTCTCATCCCAAGGGCTCCTGCACTGCGGGGGTTGTCAGCAAGAATGCCTGGAACAGCTGTCACCCCTCTGCTTGCCAGACCGATGTGACTGGCTTTGTTGGTATTCTGTCCTTCCCCACACCTCCCAAAGTTGTCCAGTTCATAAGCGTCAACTTCCCAGAGAAAGAGGAAGTGTTCTTGATTTGTCCTCCTCGGCAGGTTCATCTTTTATTCTGCATCTAGAAGGGATCTAAAATGTGATCATGTCACTCACTGGCTTAACTTTTCAAGGGTTTTCCCAGGCTGATGCTCAAGGTCCTTCATGATCTTGACCAAGGATATATCTGCCCCAAACTTCACCATTCACAACCCACCCAAATCTTGTCACCTCCAAGCCATTCCAAATGTGCCAAGTTTTCTTCTATCAGCACCTCTTACATGCTGCTGTGACTTACCCCGTCATGTCTGCTTAAGTCTTTTCTGTCCTTCAGGTGTCAGCTCAGATATACCCTCATTCAGAAAATGTTTCTGAATCCCCCAAAATAGAGGAGGGGAAATAAAATACCCCTACTCAGTGTTCTCACAACCATCTGAGTACCTGTATCCTAGAACCTCTCATACTGTATTGTAACTACATATTTATAAATGGCTGTGGTTTGACTATTTTCATCCCCACCAAAATTCACGGTGAAACTTTTCATCACCGTTGTGATAATATTAAGAGGTAGGGTGTTTAGTAAGTCATGAAAATGGAGCCCTCATGGATAAGTTTAAGGATCTTATAAAAGGGCTTGAGAGTGGGTTCATTCTCCTCTACCCTCCCACCATTTGAGAATATAGCATTCCTCCCCTTTTTGCCCTTCTGCCTTCACCATGTGAGGACCCAACAAGAAAATTCTCACCAGGTGCCGGCACCTTTATCTTGGATTTCCCAGCTTCCAGAACTGTGAGAAAATAAATTTCTGTACTTTACAAATTATCCAGTTTCAAGTATTTTGTTACAGCAGCACAAACAGACTAAGACAATATGTGATTCCTTTTATAGCCTGTGAACAAATTGAAAATAGGAGTTATGTCTCTTACCTGGTACACAATAAGTACTTCACTTATGTTTGTTAAATGAATAAATTAATGGCATATAAATAGCTGTGCTTCCATATTAGAATTAGAGCATAAAATAAGACAGTAAATGCCTAACTCCTAGGAGATGTTTCATTTCAGGAAAAATGTTACTGCTGCCTTCTGCTAGTCCACAGGCGTGCCTGATTCTAAGTGAATGTGAATTGTACTGGCCAGGACATAGAGAAGCAGAAGGACTCTCACCACTGTTTCTTGCCTCTTGTAGGTCTCATAGAGAAGAACTCTTGGCTGTGGAGTATCCCATCACCACTTCCACCAAACCAAATCACCTTATCTCTGTGCGCACTCCCAAAGAATAGCACATCATGGGTGTATACAGAGCACCAGGGAGCACAGCCCTGCTTTGGCAATCAGTGTTACCAGTGTCCCCACACTGTCCATGACTGGCAGGGATAACTAGCAGCAACTGTACTGCTGCATGCCCATGGTAATGAGTGTCAGCAATATTGAGGGCAGTGAAACTTCCATGGCACCTGCAATGCTGGCTCCGTGTATTTGCTTCATCCCAAATATTAGGATCTATGCTAATAATGGTGTGCTGCAGCGGCAGTTACAATGTTGAGGCTCCCTTTTCTAGATTAGTAGTTTCCTCTTACCAGCAGCCAGAACTAGAAAATAGAAAATTAAATAAATTAAACCCAAATACAAATTAAAGAACAGAATATAGCTGGTAGAAGAGAGGATCTTTTCATCAATACTTGTGTTTCCATCTCATATACCGTAGAAAACTGGAAGAAGCTAGAGAATCATTTTTTTCTTCTGTCAATGAGACCATTTCCTCTAAACTAATATGGTCTAAGATAGTATTAAAACTCTAGGTACTGTACTGAAATAGAGCCCCAAACCTTGAGTTCAAACCTTGGTTTTGCTCTTTATTTATTTCTCACAATGATATTGGATAAGATCCTTCTCAGCCTAGGGACCACTATCTGTAAAATGGGCATAATGAAGACCCATCTCATTGGATTAATATATGGATTACATAAAATAATGTATATCAAAGTGCTTTAAAAACATGGGGTGTGATCCGCAGCCACTCTGCAGGGCATAGTCCTTTACACATAGAAGGCGCTTGATGAATATGGGTTGAATTGAAATGCAAGGGAGCTATCACTAAACACAGCATTGAAATGTTGCAGGATAAATTGACAGTTCCTTACTCTCTCCACTTCGGGTCATTCTCCTCAGTTTGGGAGAAAGAATTAAGATTTACCAGATGGTTTGCAACTGAGTAGGAAAAATAAATAGGAAGTGAGTCTTCATTTCAGTGAAACCAGTGCCCTCAAGGTTCTGAAGCAGGAATCACACTTCCTGGGTATCTTTAGAGATTCTCACCATTCCATTAAGCTCCTCCATATACACTCTAAGGAAGTTTGGGGGTGAAGAAGCTTCAGGGAGTGGTTAGCTGCATTCTCTTGACTGTTAAGTGGAATTGGGTTTTGCTAGTTGTGGGTAATGGAAGTACTCAACATAGCCAAAGAGGACCAAAAAAAAAAAAAAAAAGTCACACATGGCATCACCACACACTGAGAACAGAAAAAGGCAGTCTTGGCAAATTGGCTGTCAACAGATGCCTTGCTAACAGTGCTTCAGATGATGGGAGTCATGATTCAAGCAAAGCAGGAATCAGCAAACTCACAATGCCTGCCCAGTGGGCAATGAGAATCATCGAGCAATGCTAGGTATAGATGCAAATACAGACTTATGGGAGAAAGGTCCTGTAGTAGACCAGAGTGTATGCCCTTTTAAAGGAAGATACAGTTGTCATGCAGAAAAAGGACACAGTGTTATCAGCTCTTGGTTTTTCAAGAAAAGGTGCAAGTCAGGTTTTACACGAAATCTTTGATTTTTTTGTAAAAGTTGAATATTTTTGTTTCCCAAAACGCAGACAAAGAACCCCTGTGTTGGTCAAGGAAATACATCTACAAGCAAGATTTAAATCACAGTCAGCCAGTGTGCATCTTCTGATGTAGAGTTTCTCTGACACTCTTCAGAGATTTCTTGTTTTCATGAGGGTCATATTCTACACAATGGCACATCCTAAGGCCTGTGGATGACTGAATTATGCTGTAGTCACAAGAAAACCATGAAGTGCATCAGGATCCTTAGGAAAAGAGCTGTGATGTGGTAGGGCACAATTTCTTGTGAACCAGGGGCAGTATGGCAAATGAGGGGTGAAGGCTTTCCTATGCAGCTCAAACAGCATAGAAGACACCAAACACACACACACACACTCACCAGACTAGATCTCACCGACAGCATCACACAGGTAAAACCATGCAGCAAACTCAATAGGAGAGTCCTGTAGGTGAATGGAAAGAGAGTTGTGCTAGGAAACATAGACTTAACTGCAAATCACCTAGCTTGTAAAATGGTGATTAAAATAATGCACTCTTTGTAAGGTAGTTTAAAGGATTCAATGATATTCTATGTTTGACACCTAGCATACTGTTTGGCAAATGGTATATTCCATTATTATTGTTATTATTAAAGAAGTTAAGCCCTATTCAAACGTGGACTATTCCTGTAACACACATTTCATAGCACCCAACTCACCGAGTGATAGACCTCACAAATATCATCTGTGGTGGGTTGGTTTCATGGTTTTGCATATTGCTAAAGAGGAAAGGGTGAGGCAATCAACTCAAGAGGATTGTTTTGCAGAATTTAGTTACACTGCTGCCTTCCCCAGCTTTGCTCATTATAATTTTCCATTGGGCTGTGGGTGGAGAGTGAGTAATGTCACATTGGACAGGAGGAAAGCTCCTGGGTAGCAGAGCTTTTTGCTAATAATTAAGCCCTTTCCATAGTGGGAAATTCAGCTGAAAAATGAGGCTATAACCATTTTTATTATAGTTGACATATTTCCCTTTACCACTGAATAAACAAGATCTTTTTAGGAATGGAGAGGCAAATGCTTAATGACATTTTCCAAAGGAGTCTTATGTATATCTGAGCTCTGATCTGTAAACATGGCTCCAGTTGAGTAAATGGAAGCTGTGTGTTTGCAGTTCTGAATTTGTCAGCCTGTTCACTTGTCGATTTCCATGTGCATTTACTCATACCCTCTGTCAGTCTTAAGAGTTAGTCCACTTGAGTGATTGGTATATAGATGAGCTATCATAAAATGGGCAACATGTATAAATGTCTGCAAATAAAAAATTAAATTAACAGACAATTCCTTGCTGGCCACCAGTCATGTGTATTCAAGGTGAACTAACTAGCCCAACAGGCAACATTTAATGAGGGGCTCATTTCTCACTGCCTCTCCTTGAAGGCTTGGATCATTGCACTATGGACTATAGGAATTGTTGCTGAGAAGACATTGTTATTACGTGAAGAAAAAGAACAGATTTTTTTTCTGCATACATTTTGATAAACATTGAAAATTTTGCTTTATATACAAGGGGCTACAACTTAACAATTTAGCATATATACACAGAGAGCTTCTTTTTGGCAATAGGTATAAACCTAGAAGCCAGTAATTGAATTTTGTCAATAAAATATAATGGATAATCTAGATAAATAAAATAAATTACTTGAATTTTACTGAAAAACCTCTCTTATAATGTCACAATTTTTACTTTGTTGTTTCACATTTATACATGATGTATTCACATTGAAGCACCTTCCAGCAAGATAGAGCTACTGTAATTTTTTTTAAAAAAATAATAAAATACAAATAAACAGAGAACATCAGTATCACAGAAGATAGCAGGAAAGTCATATATTGGCTACAAGGATTAATCAGATTTCTGAACATGAGTCTCAAACCTTTCTCTATGTTCTCTGTACGTTTGAGCAAAAAGCAAAACATGAGATGATCACATCATAGAAAAGAGAAGAAGCTTACCAATTTCTCAGGAATACAAGCTTTGGTTGATTTTGTATTATTTCACTTATTACACAGTAGTTTTATTATTTTATTATTTCTACTGATATATCTATTAGCTGAGTTTTAAAATAAAGATCTAAGCATGGTAGTTCCTTCATACTGTGGGAAGAATAACTCATGCTGTTTATTAGTAGAGCAATTCCAGTGTCATTTTATAGACTGTGATTACTTTCTGCCTATTTTGCTATTTCTTAGTAAACTTTTGAAATCCACAGTTTACTTCATTGAGTATGTGAAATGTCTGTTCAGTTTCAGCAACATTGTGATTAATTTAATAAGAAATATTCTTACAAAAGCACAAAAACAGGCAAAATATATTTTCCAACAGTGTTCGGATAGGTAATCAGAAATTACTTATCATTAAACAAACTATCATCATAATCTCCTTCTGTGATGATGCTTAGAGTCATTCCTTTGCCTTAGCTTCAATCTATGGAAAGTGGAAAGAATAAGACACACACTTGAGTATTTATTTGGATGAACATTCCCCCTTCCTCGTTCCTGCCAAGGTTTTGGTAACTCTGCCTGAACCCAGTCTACAATCAGCATGTATTTATGCAGAAAGAAGGGCAGGACAGGTTTCATGTCCACTTTATGCACAGGTTGAACAGCATGAATGGGAAAGTTTCTTAAATGTAGACTGAAAGGAAATGTAAGGTAGAATACCTTCATCTTTCTCTATGTAGAACCATACTTGATTTTACAAGCACAAACCCCTCTGTGGAGCTGCTACATGCATATACAAAGGGGATAATTTCAGTTAATTTGTATCTAACACAAAGTACCCCCTAAAGAAAGTAATTTTTAAAATTCATATTTTCTACTTCTTATTGTGTCAGTTTTTGGTAAGGTGAATTTTTCTGGTATGTTCATTGCATTTATATTTCAATTTTATTGTCATAATATTGTCCACAATGCCATCTTAACTACATTTTTACTATTTGTACAATATATAGTGAGGTCCCTTCCTACTTACTATTCCTGACATTGGTTATTTGTATCTTCCTTTTTAAAAATCAGTCTTTCCAAGTGTTTCTCTATTTTAGTAGTCTTTTCAAAAAAACTTTTGGCCTTTTTATTCTCTTTATTGTTAATTTTTATTTTATTAATCTTTGTTCTTATTATTACATCCTGCTAATTTCTTAGAGTTTAATTTACTGGGTTTTTCTTACTTTCAAAAGGTAGATGTTTAATGCATTGATTTTCAGCATATACATATATATGCTCTCTCTATATATGTATAGTTATTTTTATATTTTTAAATTTTCAGATTGACAGATTAAATTGTATATAGCATGACATTCTGAAACACATAAGCACTGCACAATGGCCAAACCAAGCCAAGCAACATATGCATTACCTCACACGGTTGTCATTTTTGTGGTGAGAACATTTTAAACCTTAGCATTTTTTAAGAATACAATGTATCATTGTTTATTATATAGTCACCATGTTGTACAATATATCTCTTGAACTTATTCTATCTAATTGAAATTTTGTAACCTTGGATCATTTCCTCAACCCCCTCCTTGACCACCACCCCAGCCCCTGGTAACCATTATTCTAATAAGATCAACTTGTTTCAGATTCCACATATGAATGAGATCATGTGGTATTTGTCTTTCCATGTCTGGCTTGTTTCACTTAACAAAATGTCCTGCAAGTCCATCTATGTTGTTGCAAATGTCAAGATTTATTTTTTATTTGTATATATTTTAATTTATGCATATTTTAAATCCATAAGGACATTGTTATACATTCAACATCTACTTCTATTTATCTATGTATTACCTTTCTATTGTCTTTCATTTATTTCTGCATCTCCAAACTTTCATTTGGGGTCATATTCCTTCTGTCTGAAATGTACTTTTGAATTTCCTTTAATGATGAGTTATCACCATTCTTGTTCATCTGGAGATGTCTTCATTTCACTTTTATTCTTGAAGGATATTTTCATAAGGTGAATAATCTAGGTCAGTAATTTTCTTCCAGGGCTTTAAAGATACTCTTTTTTCTGGCTTCATTGTTTCTATTGACAACTCAGCTATCAGCCTTGTTCCTTTAAAAGTAATGTTTTTTCACTGGCTGCTTTTAAGATTTTTAAGAAGAACTTCCAAGTATGGATTTCACTTAACTTACCTTGCTTGGAGTTCATGGGACTTCTTGAAAATGTGACTTGATGTCTTTCATCACAAAAGTTTGAATACTTTTAGCCATTTTCTTTCAAAATATTGATTCTGGACCATTCTTCTTCCTTCCTGTTGGTTCAATTCCACATATATCAGATCTTCTAACTGTGTCCTGCATATCGCTTATGCATTCTTCTGTATTTTCTATCATTTTGTCTCCTTGTGTCTCATTTTGGGTTTTTTTTTCTAATCTGTCTTTCAATCACTAATTCTTTCTTCAATTGTTTCTAATCTGCAGTTAATTCCATCTATTAAGTTGTTAATTTTGGCTATTTTTTCATTTTCAGATTTGTATTTGATTATTTTTTTAGTTTTCAATTCTCTACTGAAATTTCTAGTCTTACATTTTACACCCTTGAATATATTGGGCATACTTAGTTTAAAGTCTAGGTATTAACACTGCACTACTGGGGGTCCTATAAGTCAGTTTCTATTGTTTATCATTTCTGCTGCTTTTCATCTGCATTGTCTTATCTCTTGATTACTTTTACTTTTATTGTAATAATTTCATTTTGTTTGTAGGAATAATTTGAGACCAAATCTCTCCCATGATTAGTTTCTGCCTGGTCCCTGGGGCACTAGCAATCTAGGATTCACTTTAATCCAGTTGAATGATTGTCAATATATTTGCTAAGGCTGCTATAATAAACTATCACAGACTGGGTGGCTTAAACAACAGAAATTTATTTTCTCATGATTCTGGAGGCTAGAAGTCTCAGATCAAGGTGCTAGCAGGGTTAGTTTCTTCTGAAGCCTCTCTTGTTGGTTTATAGATGGCTATCTTCTCCTTCCTATGTCTTTACCTGGTCTTCCCTCTGTGTGTGTCTGTGTCCTAATCTTTTCTTCTTATAAGGACACCAGTCACATTGCATTAAGGCTCACTCTAATGGCTTCATTTTAACTTAATTACTTTTTAAAGACTCTGTCTCCAAATACTGTCACAGTCTGAGGTACCAGGGGTTAGGACTTGAACATATGAATTTCAGGGGGACATAATTCAGCCCATAACAATGAGTGAATGAGATGACTCAAAGCTACTGACATATTGGGAAGGGGTGCTATTTACCTCTTAGTTCAGTGCTGCCACTCTTTAAGATCCCAAGACAAAGTCAAGGAGTTCACCAGGGTCTGTGCTTTTTGTTGGTCCCTGGAATTCAAGTCCATAGCCCCTTAGTTTTATGAGATTCTCAAAATGTCACTCAGGTTTGTAATCTCTCAACACTCGCCCTCTGCAATCAGTAAATTCTCAAAAGCTCTCTTCCTCTAGCCTAGTAAATATTCAACAACATGTTGGCTGTCTAGTATCCATGAGTGGATATGTAATATATTTTATCCAGATTTTCTAGTTGGCCTCAGTGGAAGAACTGGCACATTTCTTTCTTTTCATTGTCTATCAAGAATGAGAGATTTCCTTAGTAATGTGTATATGTGTTTGTGTGTGTATTTAAATAAACACAGTTGTATATATTATTAGTTTATTACAAAATAATGTTATGAAAAATTCAAGGTATAGAGATATGTTTACAGAAAAAATAAACATGGACCTCACTGCCATTTTCTACTTTCCCACCAATCCCACTTTCTCCAGAGGTGACAACTGTTGACATATTACTGTACATCCTTACATAAAATTTGCTGTACACTACCATAGGTACATAAAATATGTGGTCCATTTTCAATAAATGGCATCAGACATACCTTAAGTTCACTTAATGTCTTTCTTTCTGTGTAGGTTCACATAGATAAACCACATTCTTTTTAATTGTTACATAGAACAACTAATATGAATATACCATCATTTATTTACCCATTGCTGTATGATGATCATTTAGATTATCTTTAATTTTTTGCTATTTTGAACAGTGTTGTAATGAACATCTTTGCACATGTCTTTTCCTGCACACAGATAAATATTACTAGGTAGAAGTGTGCATGCACTTCAGATTTTAATATTTACAAATTTCTCCCCAAACATTTTACCAGTTTATGCTACTGGAAATAAAAATGTATGAGAATGCCTGATTCACAGTAGTACTCTCACAAACTCTAATTTCCCAAAATATTATGAGCATCTTTTCCTGTTATTGATGATTTTTGTTTTTCTGTAAATTGTCTGTTTATGGCCTTTGCTCCTTTTACTATTTATGTCCCTGTCTTTTTCATTTTATTTGTATCAGCTATTTAATATTTGCAATAGTATTTTAAAATATAATGCCAAACTGCTGCCTGGTTTTAATTTTTGTGACAATTCAATATTTTTCAATTGCATGTGATTAAATCAATTTTTTTTCTGTGTTCAAAATTTTTATCATTCTTCTGCATTTTCTTATTGGATATTAGTTTTAAAGTCATCATCATAAATTTCATTTTACAATCATGTATGTGTTGCACTGAATTTATTAATGTGTGAGAATTGTCAACCTAAAATATTGACTCTCTCCCTCCATTAAAATAGTACCTTTTCATTTGTTCAGGACTTCTCTTATGTCTTTCAGGAAAGATTTATAGTTTTTAATATCAGTATTACATGTTTCTCATTTGGTTTAGTTTTACATATTTGAAATATTTTATTATTGCAAATGCTTCCAAATGTTTATGGGTCAATGTGATTTTGCTTTGTTTTCTTGTAGAGACACTTACATTGAGAAATTTTCTTCTTTCTAGGTTACTGCAAATTTTATCAAGAATGAGTATTTAATTTGATTAAATGCTTCTTTGGAATCTTTTGGGATGATGATATGATTTTTCCTCTTTCAATCTGTTAGTGTGGTCACTCGCTTTAATAGAAATTATTTAATGTTTGACCATTCTAGTATTCCTGAGACTAAACCATTTGATAAGGATTTTGATTTTAAAACATTATTAGATTTTTCTTAATATTTAAGGATTTTACATCTATTTAATAATAAAATTTATAATTCTCTCTCATTTTTATTTCTCTATCTAGTTTTTGTATATAGATTACAGAAGCCTCATGTACTGAAGTAAAAAAATGTTTATTTGTCTCTGCCATGAAATGGTTTATATAGCATCGGAATGATTGGTTATTGAGTAACTTTTTGTTGTTATTTTTGGTATATCGTTTCTAAGCAACCTCTATTTGGACTAGTTTTGGTACAATATACACCTCTGTTTCAATGTGGAAATGTTTTTTAAAACTCTTAAGTTCAGGGGTACATGTGCAGGATGTGCAGATTTGTTACATAGGTAAATGTGTGTCATGAGAGTTTGTTGTACATATTATTTCATCACTTAGGGATTAAGCCTAGTGTGCATTAGCTATTTTTCCTAATCGTCTCCCTCCTGTCACTCTCCAGCCTCCAACAGGACCCAGTGTGCATTGTTTCCCTCCATGTGTCCATTTGTTCTCATCCTTTAGCTCCCACTTATAAATGAGAACACGTGGTATGTGATTTTCTGTTCCTGCATTGATTTGCTAGGGATAATGGCCTCCAGCTCCATCCATGCCCCTGCAAAGGACATAATCTCATTCTTTTTTATGGCTGCACAGTATTCTGTGGTGTATATGTGCCATATTTTCTTTATCCAGTGTATTATTGATGGGCATTTAGGTTGATTCCATGTCTTTGCTATTGTAAAGAGTGCTGCAATAAACATATGTGTGCATGTGTCATTATAATAGAACTTTCTATATTCCTTTGGGTATACACCAGTAATGGGATTTCTGGGTCTAATGGTATTTGTTTCTAGGTCTTCCAGGAATCACCATACTGTCTTCCCCAACGGTTGAACTAATTTACACTCCCACTAACAGTGTAAAAGCATTCTTTTTTTCTCCACAACCTCACCAGCATTTGTTATTTTTTGACTTTTTAATAATAGTCATTCTGACTGGTGTGAGATGGTATCTCATTGTGGTTTTGATTTGCATTTCTCTAATAATCAGTGATACTGAATTTTTTTCATGTGATTGTTGGCCACATGTGTGTCTTCTTTTGAGAAGTGTCTGTTCATGTCCTTTGCCCATTTTTTAATGGGGTTGTTTTTTTTCTTGTAAATTTGTTTAAGTTCCTTATAGATGCTGGAAATTAGAACTTTTTCAGATGCATAGCTTGCAAAAATGTTTTCCCATTCTGTAGGTTGTCTGCTTACTCTGTTGATAGTTTATTTTGCTGTGCAGAAGCTCTTTAGTTTAATTAGATCCAATTTGTCAATTTTTGCTTTTGTTGTCTTCATCATGAAATCTTTGCCCGTGCTTATGTCCTGAATGATTCAATGTGAAAATTTAATCCATTCACATTTATTGTGATTGAAGATACATTGGTATTCTTAGCATCTTATTTTCTTTTTACTGTGTTTGCTTGGAGGTTTTCCCCTTTTTAAATACCTTTTTTAGAATTGACTAATCAAATTTTGTTGTATTTTTCTTTCCTTTAATGGTTTGATGGTTTTCTATGTGCCCTTTGATGGCTACACTTAAAGTTTTATTTTTATTTATTTCCCTCAATATCTAGGGTTAGTATTATAACCTCCTCTTGAATTAAACAATAACATTATCATATTTGTAATTCTCTTTCTCTATACCCTGCCACTTCCTTTGTTAGCTCCATGTTGTTGCTTTTTTTTTACTATACATTGACAACTACATAGTTGTAACAATATAATTTTATTTTTATTTGTTTTATTGTATACCACTGTTTTATTTTCCCTTGTGTTCTTTTTGGATTTATCTGTTTTACTGGCATATCTTCAGTTGCTATTTCAAGGGGTTTCCCTGAGTAATTATATTTTTGAGAGTGCATGTGAGAGAGAGAAATTAACTTATCCACTTAACTTTTCCACTTATGCACAAATTTAGCTGAAGTGGAATTCTTGATTCAAAATTATTTTCCTTAAGAATGGTTTAAGGCATATTTTCATTATCTTCTGGAATCTAGAAAAGTCTAATAAAAATCCATTTTTTACCTTTGTAGGAGAAATATGTTTCCACTCTAGAAGTTTTTAGGATTTTCTTTTAACTATTGTCCTGAAATTTAGTATGGTTTTTAAAAATCCTGGGGACACTTTTCTACTTAAAAGTTTTGGTTTTGTTCAGCTACATAAAGTGCTCTTTTATCTTTCTTTTATTAATCGATCTCCATTCTATTGTCTCATTCTGAAATAGCTTTTTGGGCACATATGTTTGACATATGTGTCTCTTCTCCTTTACAGTTTGTCTCAAATCTCTTTCAGTCTGTCTTTTATAAAAATATGTCATTGCATTTAGGGTTTACCCAGTTAATCCAGGATAAACTCTGACTTTTAAGACCCTTAACTTAATCATATATTTTGCCACAGAAAGTAAAATGCATTTGCTTAATAAGATAATACTCATAGGTTCCAGGCATTAATAAGTAAATTAATTTTTGCAGAGGAGGACATGTTTTCAGCATACTACAACAAGGGAATCATGGTTCAAAATAGAATACATTTCAGATCACATTTACTTTTCTTTGGGTTAAAATTTATTGGCTCATTGGATTCCCTAGACTGACTCTTATGTTCAGTTCAACAAATGCTCAGTCTGTAAAATTGGCAATACAGCATTTAATTCTTATCTACTTCATTAGCATATGGAGAAATAAAATGAGAAATGATATATAAAGCATTTTCTGATGGTATCATGGAAAGAATAGAGGGCCTATATTTTACATTGTAGGTTCTAGAATCAGACATTGGAATTATAGCCAGAGTCTTGCCACTTAATAACTTAGTGACCTTGGTCTCTTCATTTATAAAGTAAAGGTAAGACATCTATTTTTACAAGTTCGTTGTCATAATTAAAGGAGAATTCATGTAAAAATGACGGACATGCTGCCAGCTTCTTGGCTCATAGTAAGATTCATCTTCCTCTTTCTGCTCTGCCAAAAAAAGGTTTTGTACACACTCTGTATTGCTAAAAGATGTTAAGATGCAGATAAGCTTAGATCAGCAGTTTTTATTTCAAGCAAGAAAGACAAACATAGATAATAACTATTTAAATAATTAATAGGCTGGAACAAACTATTCACTGATGCTATGCATGAAAAATAAGAATTCTCTGCCAGGACCTAATTCGTGTCCTTGGTCAATACATTTTTCCCCTTCTTTGTTTCAGGAAAACTTAACAGTATTGTGCAAAAATAAATAAACAAATAAATAAATAAATAAATAAATAAAAATAAAAATAAATAAAAAACTTAGTCATGGCCTAGGAAAGTATAGACAAGTAAATTGTAGTTATTGCTACTAAGTTATTATCATTGACTTGAATTCTACAAGATATTACTGGCAGTATTACTATTCATATATAAAAGCAAATGAGAGTGTGATTCAAAGGACTAATAAATTACTCTAAGTTCACTCCATAGTAGTTCTATTTCCCTTTACATCTCTGGCTAAATGGCTCCATTCATTAATTCTCCAGACTGATAACATCGAGCCTGTGGATCTAGCTACTAGGTGGCCTTTTACTCATGGCCTCTCACAGGATCACAGACTGAAACCCTGGTGTCAGGCAGAGAACTCATAAATGGGGGCCTTTGACCAAAAGGAAGGCTTGATGAGGACCCGTTTATATTAAAATAAACTCCTTCTTTACTTCTACCATTTAAGTGGTGGCATTTTTCACGGCTTCAATATCTGTATTCCTCTATTCTGGGGGACGGTAGCAGTTCCCTGGGGAATCTTGCACAGTCTCATGCATTCAGCTACATCCTATGACCTTCAAATATATAACCCCAACTCTAGCTCAGTCTTTTATCTTCTCTCTCTCCCTTTCTCCTGCATCAGGCCAGTAGCCGTAGCCTCTAGCCTTGAGATTACTCAGGCAACGAACCATAACTGTCTCTGTGAGGCACCCTCGGAGGCTCTCTCACCAGATTCAAGGGGCAGCCACTACTCTCTTTTCTGACCCTCTGGGCTCAGAGCAAGAAGAGGCAAAAAAAAAAAAAAAAAAAAAGCAGGTTTTGGGGCAGGTTTAGGAAACTTCACACTTAACTGCTGATACAAATTATCTCGTGGGCCTGGTGGATGTTTAAAAATTACTCTAGCACTTGAGGTGCTATTAGCATCCATTGATGACTTCCTGCTGGCTTTTCCTAACCATAGTTCTCTTGACCTGGTAGAGGCTCTCCTTCAGCTGGCCACTACAGGTATCCTTCAGTTTCTGCACCCAGTGCTTCACCCTTAGTTTCTACAAGATTCCCCTTGTACTCTGGTAGACACTTTTTTGGGCAAAATGTTATTTTCAGTGACCTCAGGCCAGCATTCTTGTGATAGACATGGATTCCATGCCTGTTCCCCAGGATCTCCTTTGGCTCTTTATTGGAGGAAAATGCATTGTTTTCAAAATTTAGCCTTTATTGTGCTTCCATGAGCAGCTTCAGTTAGCATCTCCCTCTTTGATAGTCTCTGGCACAGACCAGGCATCAGTCCACAGTGTCTTCCAAATGCAGGAAAGAATCTGGCCCCCCTCAGTAGACCTGAAGTGAGGAAAACTCACTCATCCCATGCCCCTCACCCCTCCCAGGTTGGTTAGGAATCAGAGTTCTACACAAAGAAATTTTGTCGTCTCCAATCACCTTAACCTCTTATAGCCTCAATATGTATAAGTTGTTTAACTAAACCCACTCACCTTGGAACATACCATCCAGTCTTTACACCTTAGTCAAAAGCTAAGGATGCATCCTATTTTGACATCCAGTTTTTCTAAATTGAAGGACTTATACAAGGTAACTCATATAGTTTAAATGTTCGTCCCTGCTCAAATATTACGTTGAAATATAATTCCCAATGTTGGAGGTGGGGCCTGGTGGGAGGTGTTTGGATCATGCGGTCGGATTCCTCATGAATGGCTTGGGCCATCCCTTTGATGATAAGTGAGTTCTTGCCATGAATTCACACAAGATCTGGTCATTTAAAAGTGTGCAGCACCTGCTACCCTCCCCCCTCCCCCCACCCCACCCCTCAACAACTTTCTCTTGTTCCTGCTTTGGCCATGTGACAGGCAAGTTCCCCCACTTGGCCTTTCACCATCATTGTACACTCCCAGAGGCCTCCGCAGAAGCAGATGCCAGCACTATGCTTTTTATACATCCTGTAGAATCTTGAGCCAATTAAGCCTCTTTTTTTTATAAATTACCCAGTCTCAAGTATCTTTTAAAACAAGGCAAGAGTGGTATAATTCAGTAACATTCATGTTTCTCTCTCTTGCTCTTCGTGTCACCATTTTGTGCCTACAAAGGTGAAATAGTGCCTGTCACGATTGCCACTTTGCGAATTTATATGTAATGAGACTTATTCAGCTTCAGGTCTTATGGATAGACTTCTTTTTTCACAAGAAGCAATTTTTATTTTTTATTATTATAAGTCATAATCTCATCTGACAAAGAGCAGGATGAAAATAACGGGGGCTGGATAAATAAATGAGTTAATTATGGACGTTCTCATTTTAAAGAAACATTAAATCATGCAGGATTATGCAGAGTGGGGTAATTGTTCTTGATTTGAATTATTAGAATACAGCATTCATAAAACCGATACCTTGTTGGTTTGCATAATTCAGTTGCAAACCAAGTGAGTAGTGTTGGTTCCAGCCTAATTCTCCATCTCTGCATTCCTCCTTCTGCCAATCCATGGATCTCCTTTTACCCCACCTGCATTGTCAGCTCCATCCCCAGGTAAGAGGAGTGTTGCTATAACAAATTGCCACAAACACAACAAATTTATTACCTTACAAATTTGGAGGTTGGAAGTACCAAGTGAGTCCCAGTGGATAAAATCAGGCTGTGCTCCTTTCTGGAGGCACTAGAAGAGATTCTGTTTTCTTGCATATTCCAACTTCTAGAGGCTGTCTGCGTTTCTCATCTCATGGCCCACTTCCATCTTCAAAACCAGCAATGGCTAATCAAGACTTTCTCACATTGCATAATTCTGGTCACTGCTTCCATACTCTCGTCTCCCTATCTATTCTAACTCTCTCTTCTGCCTTCCTCTTCCTCTTTTAAATACATTTATGATTATATTGCACCCACCTGTGTAATTCAGGTAATCTCCTTGTCTTTGGGTCAGTTGATCAGCTACCTTAATTCCATCTGCAACCTTTGCCACATTACAACATGTTGACGGGTTCCTGGGGTTACAATTTGGACATGTTGGGTAGGGCATTATTCTGCCTACCACACAAGAAATAACCCCAAACTGCAGCAGAAGTTACCTAAATCTCTCGTTGCCTTCACCTTCCATCACCCCTTAGGAAGCAGGTGTCTACTATTCTAGCTGCCAATCTGACCCTGGCATCCTAGCCAATAACCTATTCAACAATACCTTCCAAAAAAGGACAGGATTCTGAGCCTGTTTTGCAAATAGAGGAACATTCAGCCATGCCCAGGTGTTTACATACTGTCTATGTCTGCTCTCATGCTACAATAGCAGATTTGAGTGTGAAGCCTGCAAAGTCTAAAATATTTATCATCTGGTCCTTTATAGAAAAGCTAAAACATTTGTTGGCACCTGCTATGCAGAGCTGCTCCCTTTTGAATTTATTCTTATTCTTAAATTGTAGCCTTTCATTGTCCCTACTGAAAAGTGTAGACCAGGGTCTCTCCCCATTGGTGTACTCTGAACTTCATTTCTCACACCACCAGCCCTGTTAGTCTGCTACAAGTTGAGATCAATTTCTCAACCTCTAGGCTGACACTTTCAGAATCAGCAAACTGTCTTGAGAAAAAAAGTGCCAAATGCAAGGTTAACTTATTTCCCAGATTTTTTTTTCCTGCAAATCCCTTCTATTTTAGTAATCCTCCAATGCCTTCAAACATACATTGTTTTTACTTTGTCTAGCTTTTCTAGTTGTTCTCAGTAATAGGATTAATCCAAGCAATCTGGTCTGCTATTGCCAGAAATATACTTTTAGTGCTGGTTTTATATTTTTGTTGCCTCCAAGTCCTTGTTATAGTATCCATATTCCTTTATATTTCATTCTCCTGTCTTTTGGGTTTATCTTATGATTTCTTCATGGCTTTTATAATTTCCTGGGAAATATGTTTCTTTCCTTTTTTTTTTTTTTTTTTTTTTTTTTGAGACGGAGTCTTGCTGTCACCCAGGCTGGAATGCAGTGGCACAATCTCGGCTCACTGCAACCTCTGCCTCCCAGGTTCAAGCGATTCTCCTGCCTCAGCCTTCTGAGCAGCTGGGATTACAGGCATATGCCACCTCCCTAGCTAATTTTTGTATTTTTAGTAGAGATAGGGTTTCACCATGTTGGTCAGACTGGTCTCAAACTCCTGACCTCGTGATCCACTCACTTCGGGCTCCCAAAGTGTTGGGATTACAGGCGTGAGCCACTGAGCCTGGCCTCTTTTCTTGCTTTCTAGTGAGGAAGCTAGGTCTTACGAAATATTCTGAATTCTACAGTTATTTTCTCAGGTAAACTTATCTTTAACTATTCAGAATAACACTTTTTCCCTTGTTGTGCACTGATTTACTAGAGCCCTCATGGATTTAGTTTTGTCTCTGTCTTTCGATCCATCTTCCAACTAAGCAAAATTAATTTAGACTTGATAATAAATTGGTTGCTTTTAGTCTCCCTTATCAGATGAACAACAAATCTGATTATTAGTTTTGTCCTCAACTAGAGGAAAAATAGATGCATTATTTCCATTCCAAATTTTGTCATAGTTTCCTCCATCTTCTGGTGTATTGTGCATCATTGCTCTATTCAAGTGAAATATCCTATTCTCACTGCTCATTCTTTCTGATTCTGAATTGAATGAGTTATTAACATTTTTTCTCTTACAGCATTTACTGCAATGAAAGTTCTTACATCTCTCATTTTTGATATTTTTTCCATTTTCTTTTAATGAATAAATACGCAAAAGTGAGATACAGTGTTTCTGCCATCCCATGGAGAAGCACTGATAATCAGAGACAACTGGTTAAGTTTTCTGATTCAATGGTACAGTCCCTAGTTTTCTGGTTCCAGAGATGTACACAATTTCTTAATTTCTCAGACTGAGTCTGTTTCAAGGGGTGAAGCCTGGACATGTTCTTCTCTAGTCCGGCACTAAATGCATTTGTGAAACTCTCTCTCACATTCTTGTATTATATTTCCCACAAATCTTAGTTTTTTTTTAATGTTGGCTTGAAACGTACCTTATATAATTATACTCCTGCTTAGGTAGTGTATTTAGGAACTGTGAATTAAAGGTCAGCATCTACTACCAGTAACAATTCTGTAGAATTAAATCCTGCAATTATCCAGGGACTGGGTCATTCCTTTCATTCCATAGAGTTAAATGCTTTTCATAAATATTCTACTCGGGCTTTCCATATTCAAAGGAATGACATGGTTTGTGATATGAGTCACGAAAATATAAATTGATACCAATGTAAGTACTTGGCATAAATTAAACTTAATTTTCTTAAAAAATACTGATTTGTGATTTGATACCCAGGAATTTAGTACAGTCAAGGATTTCCTTTTGTTTTATGAGAAGTACTAATGAATTACAACTTGCATTTGGATATTTGGGTGTCTAATAGATAAACAATGTTGTACAGTGGGGTCAGAAGAACTGGATCTTAATCCTTTCTCTTGTGCCTATAACTCTGTGACCTGGAGCAAAGCACATATCTCTGAATCTCTTGTCCCTCTTCCATAATATGAGAATAATGATGATACAATCTTACCTATTTCCCGTGTTCATTGAATGAATAAATTGATATGTGATGTGGAAGAGCTTTTATAAACATTAAGCCCTGCTTATACTTATTTTTGAAACTATTTCAGAATGAAAACTGAGAACTACTCTTTGACGCGGTTAAATCTGAATGACTTATACCCCTGTTAATCTCTAATTATTCATTCATTCCAGAATTGACATAGAAAATATTTAATACTTAGTTTCTCTGTGATAACAAGAGTATTCCAGAGTAAACAGGGAAGCCTATGAGAAATGAAGCTAGTTTAAATTTTAAAGGTATTTTTCGGAAGGGTCAATCCATCCTCTCTTCCCCTGATAACATGTCAGACATCAACTACTAGCACATTTCTCAGCCTCAGGTGTCTTCGGTCAATTATCTGAATCTTTGAGCAACTTGGGGAAAGTTGAGTCCAAACGTTAAAACAAAAAACAAAATAACTAAGAGCGAAAACGATAAGAATTTGATGCAGATGTTTATTTTCAGTTGTTTTCAAAGGAACTTCATGTTAGGCATCACAGTATGTTAGAGATTTATTTTTTACTATCGGATAATTAGAAATATGCATTCTTTCCACCAATCAAAGAGACTCAACCCTGAGAATACAGTTCATGGCTAAAGCCAGAGAAGAGCACATTACAAGGGAAGATTAGCTCGCTAGAATTAAGAATTTTTCTGATGTCTTTCAGTAGGAAGCATCACTATCTCAGGGGCAAGACTTTGATAATTTGCATACACAGAAAAGGGGACAGAGGGTGTTCCTGTAAAGGCTGCTGTTATAATGATAGCACCAAAACTGAAGAACATGCTCAACTGATTTCTTCTAATAACATTGTGAAAATCATAGTGAGTAGATTATTACTTTGAAACATGATTTCATTTATAATATGATTTAAAAAATGTAGTATAACCCCATTCTGTCAAGAAATGTGAGAAATTATCTTTAATTAGTACAAAATTATAAATCTTTACACAGTTTTTACTGGTGTTTAACTGTAAACTTGCTTAACTTAAGGGTTACAGCTATAAAAATTAGCAGTAAAAATTTGTAAGTTCTATGTTTCCTCCTAAATTTCATTATGTACGTATAGATTATTCATTTGATCCTGTAAAGAATGATTATTGTTACAAAATCCTTATTGTATACATTTTTATTGTTAATGTTATTTGTTATTAGATGGCTTTCCTGGACATCAATGAATACATGATAAAGATTTAAAATAATTAGGAACTACAGAATAATATAGCAAAGAGAAAATATTCCTAATGTTACTACACAGAAATAATTATAGTTTAATTAATATTTTAATTTTTTTCTATGTATCCATTCACCTTCATATATACTGTATTTGGAAATTTTTGGTCATAGTTTGTATTTAGTTTTATTTTTACTTAATAATTTGATCATTTTTACTTAAAATTTTGTGAGCATTATCCATGTAATTAAACATTCTTCAAAAACATTTAATTTGAAAGGAACATATTATCATATAAATATAGTACTTAACATAATTCTCTATTGTTGCACATTTTAGTTGTTTTCAAGTTTTTCTGGTTATAAATAATGCTATGACTAGCATTCATATACCTAAATCTTTGTTAGCAGCTTTGATTAATTTATTCTGTTGAGTTCCCCTCAACTGTAATTATCAACCAAAGATATGAACTCTTAAAAATCTTACACAAATGACCAACCTATTTTGCAGAAAGGTCACACCAATGTTCATTTCTATAACAGGATGTTAGAGTGCCTTTTAAACTATATCTGTCACTGCATTTAAACATTTTTTAAAGTATATATTTATTAATTGATAGGTGAAAATGGCATGTTATTTTAATATTTATTCCTGAATTACTAATGAAGATAAGCTTTTTTTAATCTTTTGAAATGTCTGCTTATGTTCCTTGCCCATTTCATCTATTGTTTATTACTGTCTTATTCTTTGTTGGGCTTCACAGATACTGAGGTTTTAAAAATATTTTTATTGTTCCCTAAACATCTTTTCCCAATTTGTCAAGGATCTTTTATTTTTGTTTGCTTTAAGCTCATAATGTTATTTTTCCTTTCCAACTTTTATTTTAGGTTCAGGGGGTACATGTGTAGGTTTGTTACAAGATGTAAACTGCATGTTGCAGGGGTTTGGTATACAGATTATTATCCAGGTAATGAGCATAGTACCTAATAGGTAGTTTTTCAGTCCTCACCCTCCTCCCACCCTTCACCCTTCAGTAGCCCTGGTGTCTATTGTTTCCTTCTTTGTGTCTATGTGTACTCAATGTTTAGCTCCCACTAATAAGTGAGAATATGCAGTATTTAGTTTTCTGTTCCTGCATTAGTTCATTTGGGATAACAGCCTCCAGCTGCATCCATGTTGCTGCAGAGGATGTGATTTTATTCTTTCATATGGGTGCATAGTATTCCATGGTGAAAATGTGCCACATTTTCTTTATCCAGTCTATCATTGATGGGCATTTGGGTTGATTCCATGTCTTTGCTATTGTGAATAATGCTGCAATGAACACATATACATGTACCTTTATAACAAAATGATTTATATTCCTTTGGGTATATACCCAGTAATGGGATTGCTGGGGCAAATGGTATTTCTGCCTCTCTATCTTTGAGGAATCGCCACAGTGGTTGAACTAATTACACTCCCATCAACAGTGTAAAAGTGTTCCTTTTTCTCTGCAACCTCACCAGCATCTGTTGTTTTTTGACATTTTAAATCATTGCCATTCTGACTGACATGAAATGGCAACTCATTGTGGTTTGGATTTGTATTTCTCTAATGATAGTGATGTTGAGCATTTTTTCATATGCCTGTTGGCCACATGTACATCTTCTTTTGAGAAGTGTGTGTTCATATCCTTTAATCAGGTTGTTAGGTTTTTGCTTGTTAATTTGTTTAAGTTCCTTATAGATCTGGATGTTACGCCTTTGTCGAATGCATAGTTTGCAAATATTTTCTCCCATTCTGTAGGTTGTCTACTCTGTTTATGATTTCTTAAGCCCATAACTTTTGAACAGTTAAAATTTTCTACATTTTTAGACTTAATATGCAGTTTCCTATCTCAATGTCAGTTCAATACTCATCTACAGAAATGTCTAGTTGTTCAGAGTATTATTTTTAAATACTTAATTATATATAGTATGAAGTAAAAATAAAACTGTTTTCAATATCCTGCACTGAATAACTTGTTCTTCATTATTTATAATATTTATTATATAATACATTTTTATATATAGTAAGATTTATTTTAGGTCTAACTCTACTGCTCCTTTGATGAACCAGGCTTTTCTTACTCAAACCCCACACTATTGTAATCTCTGTGATTTTGTAATACACTTTACTAATGGTCAGAGAAAGTTTTTCCCCTATTACACACATTTTTAATCTAGATTTTTAAATTATTTTTTCAAAGTTATACAAGTGCTTATACTTGAAATGCTATAAAACTACAAATTAGGGAAGAAATGATACCTTTAAGATATTTTCTTTGTCTTCCCACACAGGAGCTGGTATAATTTTCCACCAATACAAGTATTACTTTAATATCATCAAGTAAATATTTGTAATTTTCTTTATGTAAACTTTTCTTGTGAAAATTATTACTAAATATTTTCTGACTTTTGTCATTATTGATAATGGGAAATATTACCCCCATTCATCTCCTACTTGCTTACTTTTAGTATATAAGAAAGCCATTGATTAAAAAAATGCTTATCCTATGTCTGATCCCTTTGCTGAATTATATTTCTTAATCCTAATAATTAGCTTATCTTCTTCCTGTATGGGTGTATATGTAGACATATTATCTACAAGTAATAATACTTTTGTCTCCTCAAGTATTATACATTTTATATCTATTTATTCTTTCATTGAATTGCTATAAATTCAAGAGCTATAGTAAATGGCCACCATGAAAAAACAGTAATAAGTATTTTGCTTTCCTATCCTCCCAATCTTAGCTTAAATGATACCTCTCTAGTGAGAGCTTCTCTGGCAAACACTCTACATAGCATCCTACTAACCTACCATTAATTTTATTTCATTATTCTGTTAATTTTCTTCATAATACTTCTCACATGAAAATTGTATTTATGCAAATAGAAATTATATAATTTCCTATTCCTTGTATATATTCTACTACAGTGCTACACTGGAAGTAACATCAGAGCAGGGATAATGTCTGTTTTGCTCCCCTCTGGTATACCCAGCATGTTTCCTAGTCCCTGCCATAGAACTGATTAACAAATAGTGTGTCTGTTTCTGATTTAAGTGGAAAGGTCTTTGGTGTTGCATATTTAAAAAAAATAATTATTGGTTCCAAATAAATATTGATGTTAAGAAATACTTCTATTCCAGCTTTTAGGATTGTTTTATGAAGAATAAATGCTGTGTGTTATCACACAGCATTGCATTTTCAGATTGCACTGAAATTATAACATATTGTCTCTAATCTATTTATTCTCGTTAAACCTATCCAAATTATTGTATAAACAGATTGTCTAATACTAAATCATCCTTGAAATTATCACATGAATCCTTCTTGGTTGTGGGTGGACTTCAAATATACTATTGAGTTCAACTTTCTTGCTTTTTTTTTTTTTTTTTTTTTTTTTTTGAGAGAGGGTTTCACTCTGTCACCCAGACTGGAGTGCAATGGCATGATCTCGGCTCAGCACAACATCTGCCTCCTGGGTTCAAGCCATTCTCCTGCCTCAGCCTCCTGAGTAGCTGGAACTACAGGTGCGTGCCACTACAACCTGGCAAATTTTTGTATTTTTAGTAGAGACGGGGTTTCACCAGGTTGGCCAGGCTGGTGTTGAACTCCTGGCCTTAAATGATCTACCTGCTTCAGCCTCCCAAAGTGCTGGATATTACAGGGGTGAGCCACAACATGCAGCCCTTTCTTGCATTTTATTAGGGATTTTTGCCCTTGTAGTCATAAGGAAAATTAATCTATGTTTTTTTCATTGCTGTTGCAAACTGTCTAATGTTTTCATAGTATTATTAAAGAATTAATAAATTGGATACTTTTTTATCTTTCACAAATGAAACAGTTTATATATGATGGGAATTATTTGTGCTTCATAACTTAGAGAAAATTTACCAGCTAAACAGTCTATAAGTACTTTTAAGAAGTGATTATTATGTGACTTTTATAATTTCTTCCATAAATATAGAATTTTTTTTCAATTTCTATTTTTTTCCTGAAGCAATTAATGTATGGTCTAATTTTCTTAATGTAAAATTAGTTTCTGTTCTCTGAAGAATATTCAGTAATATATATATAGAAGTAAATGAATATCATCTAATAGGCTCACCACCTAAAGTTAATTTCTGTTGATACCATATTTCCTTCTAGGCCCTTTCTTATTCATTTATTTGTAACTATACATATATTTATATAAAAACAGTATCATTTTCTATATATATAGATATAGCTATATACATAGTATTTTGTCATGTTTTCAATTAACACTATATCATGTTTGTTTTCTTACATTTGTGAATTTTCTTTTAGAATATGAATTTTATGAATGTACAGTATCTAATATTTAAAATAAGTTTCCAATATTTTACTGTAATAATGCTTTCATAAGCTTCCTTGACATTTGCCTGTATATCTGTATCCTTAGCATCAATTCTTCAAAATAAAGTCATTTTATGTTGAATACCAAAGTGTCTATGCAAATTTAACTTTTACCAAAGTGTTTGAAAGGGTGTATTCCACTGAGACATTTGAAACTTTATATATATATATATTTTAATCTATAGCATTTTGAAAAGCAAACCATGCTTCATTGTTTGTTTGATAAGTCTTTGATTAACTACTGCAAATTTTTCACGCATTTATTTGTAATTTGTCTTTCTAACTTATGAAATTTATTCACCTAATTTGACCAATTTGATTTGTAAATGCTGTATACATGCTGGAGATATAAATCTTAGCTTGACCTTCAGAAATTGTAAGCAAATTGCTCAACATTAGTCAATAATGAAGCAAAGATTATAACCTGTTTTATTTCTTGCTACTTAATTGATGTTTCTTTACACTGCAATAAATTATTAATATTTCCTAGCCATGTGATCTTCGGCAAAATATTTTACCTCCCTGGATCTTGTTGATTATTATACATATTTTAATATATTTATGTTTATTAACATTATATATGAATCATATTTATCAAATTTTTCAAATAAAATGTTGAATTTTGCTTTTTCTCCTGAATATTAAGTAATCTCACACCAAAATCAAACAAATCCTGATTCTAAGGATATTTACTGATAATCCAGTGATGCCTGCAGATGGGTTTGAATAAGCTTTTTGAACTTTATATTATAGGTCTCCAAGAATAGGATACCTTCCTTCTAGCCACATCATCACTGAAGCTGAAGCACGTTCTTTTTCCTGTTCAGCATTGAACACTTTGAATATATTATGACAACTATGATTTGTTTGTGCCATCTTGTGTGTGTGTGTATATACATATATATGTATATATATATATATATGCTAATAAAACCTTTCCATTAACAAAACTCATTGAAAACAAATTCTATGTCTACTTGTGATTTATCTTCCCTGAGACCTCAAATATCTAGAAATATTATTTGCATTTATTCTTGTCATATTTCAATATTTTATTGTCAATGTTGAGTGTAGAAAGAGGTGGAAAAGGAGAGCGATAATTGTGAAGTTGATCACTGGATGAATTAGTAGATGCTAGAAGAAGACTGTGCAAAAGAAACTGAAATAAAGAAGTAGTGACATTTGAGTAAATAAGTCACTGGTGAGTCTGTCTCTTTTTCTTCTTTCATATTCTTCAGCCTGAAAGATTTGACTTGCTGGCAGGTGTAATAGCTATTATGATTCTTGCCTTTCAATCTCAGAGTGGTGTGAAGCAGTGAGAGAATAATTGGAATTGCTCAGTCTTAAAGAAGATTTGATCTAGCAAAATTAACAATAAGGAACTTTATTCTCAAAGTTAGTGTCTTCAGGGATAGGTGATCCATAAAATTTCTGCCTCTTTCTCAAAAAGGGGCCAACAGGACTTGATAAGGTAGGCCTGGCTATAACCATTCTCATTCTCTTACCAACCCCAAGAAACTAGACCCATTTTCAAACTGTTAAGCTTCAGAGAGTTGCTTTTAATTTTAGCTCCTCTCCAGGTCCCATGAAAATTGTCCCCTCTTCATGGGGATATAAGATTATCTGGGGTTGAAACTTGGATTTAGGTAAGTTGCTGGCCCTTCTCATATTTGGTCATGATTTGAGAATTAAGGTCCTGACACAACATCTAATTCCCAATCCCAGATCTATGACAAAGTCTAAAAAGTAATGTTGCTCCCATTTAGGGCAGTTATTTTTCTAGCATGAATGCAAAGAAATAAAAGAAGCTGGAGAAAGAAAGCACACCCATGAAAGAGAGAATTTTTGGTTAGATCCAGTTCCTTTCAGAGACCAGCTATACTTTTTTGCCCTTACATTCCATGAGAAAAAAAAATGCATTCTTTTAATAAATGCTCTTCAACATAAGTTAGCTCTGAAAAGTTTCTGCTAGTTTCAATCAAAACAATATTGGCTAAAACTAGCCAGAAAAATTTATTCCATAGCTACCTACTAGGCCCCAGCTATGATTCAAACATTCTCTTTTGCAAACACTAAATCTCTGAATATCCTGTTTGCCCCAAGAACACTTCATGCCCCCAAACTGCTTCTCTAACTTTCTTTCCTAAAACATACAAACAAGCAAAAAATTCCTTATAAACAACTTCCTATTATATTTATACAATATTTGAAATTGTGATTGTTTTTAAGAGGCAAAATGGTCATATTGAGGTATTACATGTAAAAGTGTGAATGACCAATAGTTTAAGTCCCCCAGGGATATTTCTCTTAGAAGTACAACTTTAAATCCTACTTGTTGAATTGTATGCATCAGAAAAGGCTAAAAATGACATTTTGATTCCTCTCCAATTTAAATTAACCCAACAGAATGAAATTATTTTCTTTGGAACCATATTTGAGTTCAACACTAAAAGTAGCTAATTTCCTATATCTTAATATCCTTAGCCACAAAATAAAGACAAATATATATCTTTCAGATTTGTAAAGACAAATAAGATAATATTTGTAAACTATATAGTAAAGTTTGTAACATTCAAGTCACAGCTGTGACTAGTCACATTAATTAATTTATTCAAGAACATATTAAATTTGCCTTACAATAGAAGTCTCCTGCCTGGCTTCATATTAAGAACAATCCTCAAGGCATCAGTGAATTTGTTGGCTAAGGTTGGTTGGTCTCACAGCAGAGTGGAAAAATAAAACCCTACAGTAGAGAATTACAAATACTTGGCACAAGTGTCACCAATCCTAGCTTCTGTATCTATAGCAGACATTGCTAATAGATCCCTGCACACTTTCTTATCAACCAGAGACTCAGACTTTTCAACACAGTAAGTCCAGGCAGTAATTCCTGACCAATCAGAGCTCACATCAAGATTAAGGCACGTTTCTATTAATAGTCTAGGACAAAGGTCAGCAAACATTTTTTGTAAAGGTCTGGAAGGCTGTTTTGTTTTGTTTTGTTTTGCAGGCCATATGGTCTCTGTTGCAGCTACTCAAATTTGTCTTCATAGTATGAAAATAGCCACAGACAATATGTAAATACATGGGAATGCCTGTGTTCCAATAAAACCATATTTACAAAAATAGGCAATAGATGGTTTGAAACTTGCCAACCCAAGGTTTAGAGGCTCTCCTAAAGTCAAGGGGAGTCACAATAGTGGCAAATCCTGCTGAAGTCATTTCAGGAGAGTTTGCAAAAGAGGTGTTTTAGCAGCTGGCAAGGGGAGGGATATAAAAATGATCTTTAGACCTGGGGAGTTCCCTTGCTCAATTTTTTCTGAAATCCTGTTGTTTCAACTTTTCTCTCAACTCTCAGAGATTGCAGAGGGCACTGTGCTCCACTTCTCTTGGGTCTTAGCTGATGCAGTTGTGCTGTCCCTGATATTCACCAGCTGATGTTTCCAACCCAGGCCATTTACTAGGAGTCCAGTTATGTTACATTACAATACTGGTTTTAGCCTTGAGTTTGAGGTTCCTTCATACTGATACTCATAATCCAAAAGATCATTGGAGATTCCCATTCCCTCAGTATTTAAAGTAATCCTACAGTGTTGCCTCCCCTATGGAGTTGCAGATAAGCAATACCAGACCCTTCTACTCTCACTCTTGGAGAATTCTCAAATTGAGTCCAGTGTTTTATTTTCTTTAATAGAGAGAAATATGGATGGTTGAGAGTATGACCCTAGGCAAGTCATTTGATCTTTCAGAGCCACAGTTTCCTCATCCACAAAATAGAGGTGGTAATAATACCTTTGCTACCTACCTCAAGAAGTTATATGAGGCTCAATGGATACCTTTTTTTTTTTAACTAAGGCTCAAAAACATTATCCACTAAAACTCCTTTCAAACTAGCTTTAACACTGCCATTAACTCCCACCCACATTACCATGATAACTCACATCCTGTGACAAACATCAGGGTTAATATTGGAGGAATAAGTCTATTTGCAAATCAAAGATGTTTGTCCCCATGAGTGTCCTCCTACCTTCATTCATCAGCCTTTTGCAACAGAGAATGTGTAGAGGTCTCCAGATGGATCCTGGCTTTCATTTCCTTTTTGGCATCCCGGCACCTGCAATCAGACACACACAAAGTTATGTAAATCCTACATGACTATGCCAAGGAAGGTGATAATAAAATAACCTAAGACATAATGGACTCAAGTAGTGACTATTGCTGGGAAGCATTAGGTAAGAATCATTTACCATAACAGCTTTGACTTGGGCAAAAGAGCCCTTCAAATTTCAACTGAAGTCCTCTTTAAGAAAAATGAGTAACTAATAACCTCATTGTAAAATCAAAGCTGTTGCTTGCATTCTAAATTCCCTCAGCTGCATGGAAGTGTATATTTGACTTCTTGAACAAATTCAGATATGAAAATATTCCCATAGAACTTTTAGAACATTCATTTCAGAACAAACTACCTTTTCTTCATACATACATTTACCAAATGATGGTAAACGCCGTCTTTTTTGTGTCAAAAGAAATTCATGACAAGAGATTTTTCCAAGGTCACTTAGTTCTTTTGTTTGTCAGTTTCCCCACAGTAGAAACTCTACTTCTGCCTTTGTAAAGTAAAATTTACAAATATCTGCTTTCCTTCTTTGTGAAGGTATAAAAAGGAACAAATGGAAATATACAAATGTGAGTAATTTGAGGTTGAAAGATCCATGTTTAAAAGTTCTGTAAACTTTTAAAATGATCTCCTATAAGTTAAATAAGAACAATAATCCCCTTGCCAGCAGTGTTTTCCTTGAAATGATTTCTGCAATGAAAAATCAAATAACTCATATTTTTGTTACCCTCTCTTTTCCTCCAAGTGTCTGCTGCCTCTCATTAAACATAGTCTCTGCTATTCAGCAGTTTTACTACCACTCTATTGCCTCCTAAACTAATAAGGTGACCAACTGTGAAAAGCAGGACATACATCATTCTTACAAAGTGCATAATGTTTACTCTTCACAGAGCATGATGCTTATAATTTGCATAGTCCAAAACTGACAGTATGTTTGGCTATTTTCCCAACTGGGAAAAAAAAATCAAGCTGTTTCTCTTCAGCTGCGTGGGTCAAGATGCTGGGTACCTTATATTGTACAATAGTCCCAGTAGTAAATTCAGGATCCCACTGTTTTTGTTCAGGAGATTACGAGTGTCCTGCATTGTTGAAGTGGAGGATTTTCCACACAAATTAGTTTAGATGGGCCAAGTGAAGTGTCGAGGCCCGGGCAGCATCACTGCTGTTGGAGGGTCAATGGGTCTCTCTCTAGAGAGCCCTCACAGACATGATGAAGGCGTTAACAGCGCCTTGGCAGGAACCATCACACACTGTTATGGACAGTCTGCAGGTGAGGCTCATGTCCACAGCTTCATGATTCTGGCCATGAAATGTGCCCACCCTAAGAGACTAGGCATTGTCTCCTACATGAGGACTTGCCACTCATGGAGCCCACTGGCCTCCTCCCTAGTCTCCCTCCTCTCTCTTTACTCTCTAAGGCTGGGCTTCCCAATTCCCACCCACCTTTTACCCCCAGGTCAGAGTCTTCTGACTGGTCACCTATCTTGTTTTCAATTTTTATTATGTAGGGTTTCACTGTTCCTTTAGGGCTTTACTGGTGGACTTCTGAAATGCTGTTTTCCTCTCCTGGGTCTTGCTCTCAAAGCTTGCATCAAAAGCTTTGTCTTTCACAACGCTTTCTCTGAATTGGGCTACAAGAGTCCATTTTGGAAGACAAAAGTTAAACAGTTTTTCTTTTATAATCATCCAACCATTGTCAAAGTATTGAGTGTCTCTGGTTGAAATGGGGAAAGGTGATAAATGGGATATGAGCTAACTGGCATATTCCAGTATATTATCTCCTTACATCAGCCAGTGCTCTCTTGAGTTTTCTCTAAAGGCAGGAGACCCAAACTGAGGCGATCTTCTGATTTTCATCTCTTCTGCTCAGGGACTTGCCCACAGACTACTTCCCACTCATAAGGAGATAAGGAGAGAGCCAGGACAGTCACTGGCAAGGAGCCATTTCCTCTATTACCCAATGTATCATGTTAAGCAATATATTGCCGTGAGATACTGTTTTAAGAGTTTCTCTGAAATCAGGTCAACGTGCTAATGGAAGTCATAATGAAAAGTAGACCATAAATTTATCTCTTCTTGAATTAATGAGAAGGCACTGTTCCAAAGTGGGCCAAACTTTAAAAATTATAGTGTAATGAGTACCTTCACACCCCCACAAAAATACTTTTCGAAGAGAGTTATTTGAGCATAGAAAGATTTTGTCAACCCTCCATAATAATAATAGCAATACCTTCTCTTTCTTAAACATGTACTCTGTACAAGTGCTTCACATATGACAGCTCACCTAATTCACCCACAACTCTAAGTGGTAAATGTCTCCCCATTTTACTGAAGAAATTGAGGCTCAGCAAGATTAAATAACTTGTCCAACTTCACATAGTCAGTACATACTCACACAGTCAGAATTCAAACCCTATGTTATATGACTCAAAAAATGTACTTCAGAATAAACTACAGAGCTGGTAACAATACAGATACCCACCACCTAACTCCAGTGATTGCTGCTAAGTCTTGGGGGTACAAGTCACCAGGCAGCTTACATCCCTAGATTTGGGTGCTAGGCTGCCTTGGTTTATAATCCTGAGCACTGATCTGGATGGTTGTGTGATCCTGGAATATTTGCTTCTCTATGCCTCAGTTTGCTCATTTTTTTAAACAGAGAGAAAAGGATTGTAATAATGTCTTCATCATAAAGTTATCCTGAGGACTAAATGAGTCAGCATATGTAAGCTGCTTATAATAATATCTTCACATAGTAAACACAGATATTATTGATCTGATGCGTTATTAATATGATCCTCACTTACCCAACATATCACATTAAGCAGCATGTTTCTGTAATATATGGTTTCAGATCTGAGAATGATTGTGCTGCTCTTCTTCTGACCTCAGAAGAATTTATGGGAATAAGCATCTAATCACATAAAAAATTTCAGAGAATTGAGAATTATCCTTTTTTTTTTTTTTTTTTTATACTCTAAGTTTTAGGGTACATGTGCACATTGTGCAGGTTAGTTACATATGTATACATGTGCCATGCTGGTGTGCTGCACCCACTAATGTGTCATCTAGCATTAGGTATATCTCCCAATGCTATCCCTCCCCCATCCCCCGACCCCACCACAGTCCCCAGAGTGTGATAGTCCCCTTCCTGTGTCCATGTGATCTCATTGTTCAATTCCCACCTATGAGTGAGAATATGCGGTGTTTGGTTTTTTGTTCTTGCGATAGTTTACTGAGAATGATGGTTTCCAATTTCATCCATGTCCCTACAAAGGATATGAACTCATCATTTTTTATGGCTGCATAGTATTCCATGGTGTATATGTGCCACATTTTCTTAATCCAGTCTATCATTGTTGGACATTTGGGTTGGTTCCAAGTCTTTGCTATTGTGAATAGTGCCGCAATAAACATACGTGTGCATGTGTCTTTATAGCAGCATGATTTATACTCATTTGGGTATATACCCAGTAATGGGATGGCTGGGTCAAATGGTATTTCTAGTTCTAGATCCCTGAGGAATCGCCAAACTGACTTCCACAATGGTTGAACTAGTTTACAGTCCCACCAACAGTGTAAAAGTGTTCCTATTTCTCCACATCCTCTCCAGCACCTGTTGTTTCCTGACTTTTTAATGATTGCCATTCTAACTGGTGTGAGATGATATCTCATAGTGGTTTTGATTTGCATTTCTCTGATGGCCAGTGATGATGAGCATTTCTTCATGTGTTTTTTGGCTGCATAAATGTCTTCTTTTGAGAAGTGTCTGTTCATGTCCTTCGCCCACTTTTTGATGGGGTTGTTTGTTTTTTTCTTGTAAATTTGTTTGAGTTCATTGTAGATTCTGGATATTAGCCCTTTGTCAGATGAGTAGGTTGCGAAAATTTTCTCCCATGTTGTAGGTTGCCTGTTCACTCTGATGGTAGTTTCTTTTGCTGTGCAGAAGCTCTTTAGTTTAATTAGATCCCATTTGTCAATTTTGTCTTTTGTTGCCATTGCTTTTGGTGTTTTGGACATGAAGTCCTTGCCCACGCCTATGTCCTGAATGGTAATGCCTAGGTTTTCTTCTAGGGTTTTTATGGTTTTAGGTTTAACGTTTAAATCTTTAATCCATCTTGAATTGATTTTTGTATAAGGTGTAAGGAAGGGATCCAGTTTCAGCTTTCTACATATGGCTAGCCAGTTTTCCCAGCACCATTTATTAAATAGGGAATCCTTTCCCCATTGCTTGTTTTTCTCAGGTTTGTCAAAGATCAGATAGTTGTAGATATGCGGCATTATTTCTGAGGGCTCTGTTCTGTTCCATTGATCTATATCTCTGTTTTGGTACCAGTACCATGCTGTTTTGGTTACTGTAGCCTTGTAGTAAAGTTTGAAGTCAGGTAGTGTGATGCCTCCAGCTTTGTTCTTTTGGCTTAGGATTGACTTGGCAATGCGGGCTCTTTTTTGGTTCCATATGAACTTTAAAGTAGTTTTTTCCAATTCTGTGAAGAAAGTCATTGGTAGCTTGATGGGGATGGCATTGAATCTGTAAATTACCTTGGGCAGTATGGCCATTTTCACGATATTGATTCTTCCTACCCATGAGCATGGAATGTTCTTCCATTTGTTTGTATCCTCTTTTATTTCCTTGAGCAGTGGTTTGTAGTTCTCCTTGAAGAGGTCCTTCACATCCCTTGTAAGTTGGATTCCTAGGTATTTTATTCTCTTTGAAGCAATTGTGAATGGGAGTTCACCCATGATTTGGCTCTCTGTTTGTCTGTTGTTGGTGTATAAGAATGCTTGTGATTTTTGTACATTGATTTTGTATCCTGAGACTTTGCTGAAGTTGCTTATCAGCTTAAGGAGATTTTGGGCTCCTAGTCTCTGATAAAACAGACTTTAAACCAACAAAGATCAAAAGAGACAAAGAAGGCCATTACATAATGGTAAAGGGATCAATTCAACAAGAGGAGCTAACTATCCTAAATATTTATGCACCCAATACAGGAGCACCCAGATTCATAAAGCAAGTCCTGAGTGACCTACAAAGAGACTTAGACTCCCACACATTAATAATGGGAGACTTTAACACCCCACTGTCAATATTAGACAGATCAACGAGACAGAAAGTCAACAAGGATACCCAGGAATTGAACTCAGCTCTGCACCAAGCAGACCTAATAGACATCTACAGAACTCTCCACCCCAAATCAACAGAATATACATTTTTTTCAGCACCACACCACAACTATTCCAAAATTGACCACATAGTTGGAAGTAAAGCTCTCCTCAGCAAATGTAAAAGAACAGAAATTATAACAAACTATCTCTCAGACCACAGTGCAATCAAACTAGAACTCAGGATTAAGAATCTCACTCAAAGCCGCTCAACTACATGGAAACTGAACAACCTGCTCCTGAATGACTACTGGGTACATAACGAAATGAAGGCAGAAATAAAGATGTTCTTTGAAACCAACGAGAACAAAGACACCACATACCAGAATCTCTGGGACGCATTCAAAGCAGTGTGTAGAGGGAAATTTATAGCACTAAATGCCCACAAGAGAAAGCAGGAAAGATCCAAAATTGACACCCTAACATCACAATTAAAAGAACTAGAAAAGCAAGAGCAAACACATTCAAAAGCTAGCAGAAGGCAAGAAATAACTAAAATCAGAGCAGAACTGAAGGAAATAGAGACACAAAAAACCCTTCAAAAAATCAATGAATCCAGGAGCTGGTTTTTTGAAAGGATCAACAAAATTGATAGACCGCTAGCAAGACTAATAAAGAAAAAAAGAGAGAAGAATCAAATAGACACAATAAAAAATGATAAAGGGGATATCACCACCGATCCCACAGAAATACAAACTACCATCAGAGAATACTACAAACACCTCTACGCAAATAAACTAGAAAATCTAGAAGAAATGGATACATTCCTTGACACATACACTCTCCCAAGACTAAACCAGGAAGAAGTTGAATCTCTGAATAGACCAATAACAGGCTCTGAAATTGTGGCAATAATCAATAGTTTACCAACCAAAAAGAGTCCAGGACCAGATGGATTCACAGACGAATTCTACCAGAGGTACAAGGAGGAACTGGTACCATTCCTTCTGAAACTATTCCAATCAATAGAAAAAGAGGGAATCCTCCCTAATTCATTTTATGAGGCCAGCATCATTCTGATACCAAAGCCGGGCAGAGACACAACCAAAAAAGAGAATTTTAGACCAATATCCTTGATGAACATTGATGCAAAAATCCTCAATAAAATACTGGCAAACCGAATCCAGCAGCACATCAAAAAGCTTATCCACCATGATCAAGTGGGCTTCATCCCTGGGATGCAAGGCTGGTTCAATATACGCAAATCAATAAATGTAATCCAGCATATAAACAGAGCCAAAGACAAAAACCACATGATTATCTCAATAGATGCAGAAAAAGCCTTTGACAAAATTCAACAACCCTTCATGCTAAAAACTCTCAATAAATTAGGTATTGATGGGACGTATTTCAAAATAATAAGAGCTATCTATGACAAACCCACAGCCAATATCATACTGAATGGGCAAAAACTGGAAGCATTCCCTTTGAAAACTGGCACAAGACAGGGATGCCCTCTCTCACCGCTCCTATTCAACATAGTGTTGGAAGTTCTGGCCAGGGCAATCAGGCAGGAGAAGGAAATAAAGGGTATTCAATTAGGAAAAGAGGAAGTCAAATTGTCCCTGTTTGCAGACGACATGATTGTTTATCTAGAGAATTATCCTTTTTTACACTGCAAATTTTGTATAAAAATCATAGGAACTAGCCATAAGACACCTGAAGAATATATTCCCAGCTGTACTATAATACAGAATAACATCTGATAAAACAATTACTTTTCACTACACTGTGAGATATAAAGCAATTGTTCAAATGTAATGAGTCAAATTTGTTACATTTGAAGTCTCAATCATATTTATAATAAACAGGTGACTTTTTACTATAAATTAGAGTGCAGGCTGCTGGATACATGAGAAAATGTTAGTGCAGTTCAGGCAAGTAGCTTCTTGCCCAAAGCAACCTATCCCAGGTGTGCATAATAAAAATATTCTGTTCACAATGTGTCACCTCTTTTATCAACTCTTTCCTCATTCTAGGTAGGCAGAAGCATGTGTGCTTTGAATTCCTAAAATAAAAATGGCCCAGATAATCCTGTGTTCACTCTCAATATATGTAATTCAACAATGATTTAGAAAAAAATATATAAGTGAAAAAAAGAGAACACCTCTTAATTAGGTTTGTTTGGAGTTCTTTTGAAGAAAGGAGCTACTTCAGCCATTTCAAACATGCTGATTGCATGAGTCCGTTTTCACACTGCTACTAAAGACATACCCGAGACTGGGCAATTTACAAAAGAAAGAAGTTTATTGGACTTAACAGTTTCATGTGGCTGGGGAGGCCTCACAATCACGGCAGAAGGCAAGGAGGAGCAAGTCACATCTTAGTTACATGGATGGCAGCAGGCAAAAGAAAGAGCTTGTGCAGGGAAACTCCCCCTTATAGTACCATCAGATTTTGTGAGGCTTATTCCCTATCATGAGAACAGCATGGGAAAGATCCACCCCCATGATTCAATTACCTCCCACCAGGTCCCTCCCACAACACCTGAGAATTCAATTTGAGATTTGGGTGGGGACACAGCCAAACTATATCACTGACATAAAAAGACAAACGTAAGAGAATTTATAATATATATTTATTAATTCATCAAATCGCTATTGAATGTCACCAGCATCTTCATCTTTGCAGATGTTCAAGGTCCAGGTGGTTCACAAAGTCATGTTCATATAGGTACATGTTGCAGTAAATGTATTCCTTTTCAGATTCTAAGTCGTTCTCATAACTGCAATTGTTACTACATTTTGCTATTAAACTCTAGTTAATTTTAAACCATATTAATCTAATATATTTTATTTTAAAATGTGATAAATCTCTTGATTAATTTGATTTATAATATAAATATTAAACACTACCAAAATGCTAAACAACTTGTTTTTGGAATTCACATGTAAAGCATTTAAACCTTATTTGAACTATGCTTTTATCTATTCAATCCTTGCTACCAAATGCATTCTTACATTCACAACCTAGAATTAATATTTTTATCTCAAACATTTTAAACTAAATCATTTATACTTTTATTGGAAACCAAATCCACTCTAGCATTAATTATGTTTGTGTTCAGTTTTAAGCATTCAATTATATTTGTGTTCTATTTCAAGCACGCAACTCTTTCAGTAAGAATTTTATAGCTAGAAGTGTATTCCTGCTCTTTCAATACCTTCATTTTCTGCCTCTGTGGGATACCATTAGTCATCATTAGGATAGGATTCTGATCAAGGAAAGAAGCATGTAGGTAATGGAAATACCAGTACAAAGATGAGCATTGTGACATAAAATACTATATTTATTAATTACTTCCAGCTAACACTACAGAAATAATATAGTCCTCTACTGAAGATCTTACAACTTATCAAAGAACATGGATGGAACCTGAAATCCTGATTTGAGGAATGCTTACTTTAGAAACTACATTATTAATTTATTGTCAAATGTACTGGCATATAATTTAACAGCTTATATACTACATAACACAAACTGTGCACACTGTAAAATAGCAGATGTCTAAGGCATGTGACTCAAACATTCACAATTATTGTTATGATATAAACTGCTGAGAAAATTTATTAGAATTTTATAATGTAATGTTTCAAACCTAAACTGCAAAAATAAGACAGTGAGACCCATCTATTGGGATATGATGAATTCAGTTATAATATAATATATGGTGTTATATTATAAACTAAGAAATCAGTTTTTGTACATTTATTATTGCATAAATATTTACTGAGTGCCTATCAGTATGCTGAGGGTTGTATATCTCAAAGATAAATAGGGTATATTCCTTAACATCAAGATGCACACTGCATTCACCAACAAATACATATCAATAATGACCATTCTGTTTGAAAGGTTTTATCCTACAGGTCTGTACGAATTACCATTAGTGCAAGGAAAATGCAGTGACAAACTTATTGGATCACTCTGAGCTGTATCACAAAAGGAATGACATTTTGAATGTGGGTTTAAAGAATAAGAAAGAGTTCCCTAAGTGGAAAACTGAGAAGACATATTTCAGAAAGCGGGAGCACCAGCTGAAAATTAGATGCCTGATGGAACAGAGTAAACTTGCAGAATTTGCAGAGGGTCTGGGATTGGCAGAGGGTCAGAGGCATGGTGGTTGGGAAACAGAAGCAGCTGAGCCCAGAAAGGCATATTAGGAGGAGATTGCAAGGTTTGGCACTGGAAACCATGTTAAATAGGTTGTATTTCATCCTGGGGGCAAAACAAAAAAAGAGGCCACTAAGGATATTCACCAGGAAAACCATAGATTTGTTTCAAATATATTACTGCAGTAGTCACTCTCCTTGATGAGAGCACTCAGTGGTTATGAGTCCCTTAGCACCTAGCACCTTGCAGAATGATTTCTCAGTGGACACTCAAGAGACAATGTCAATTAACCACATGAGAGTGGCTTGGATTGAATGGTCCTAATATAACATATTATCCTGGTGAGAGGTGAAGCAAGCGGGGCTTCTGGTTCGGGTGGGGCCTTGGAGAACTTTTCTGTCTAGCTAGAGGATTGTAAACACACCAATCAGTGCTCTGTGTCTAGCTAAAGGTTTGTAAATGCACCAATCAGCACTCTGTAAAAACACACCAATCAGCATTCTGTGTCTAGCTAAAGGTTTGTAAATGCACCAATCAGCACTCTGTAAAAATGGACCAATCAATGCTGTGCGTCTAGCAAAAGGTTTGTAAACACGCCAATCAGCACTCTGCAAAAATGGACCAATCAGCCCTCTGTGTCTAGCTAAAGGTTTGTAAACGCACCAATCAGCACCCTGTAAAAACGAACCAATCAGCACTCTGTAAAATGGACCAATCAGTGCTCTGTAAAATGGACCAATCAGCAGGACGTGGGCGGGGCCAGATAAGGGAATAAAAGCTGGCCACCTGAGCCCGCAGAGGCAACCTGCTCATCCTGGCGTATCTGTGAGTGTGCATGTGTGTGCATGTGTGTACATGTGTGTACAAGCTTTGCCTGACTCATTCATGAATTAATTCATTAATTTAAAAACATTCAGTATAGATTCACTATGACCTATGTATTATAATAGATTCTGGGATACAGAGGAAATAAAACAAAATCCCTGACAAATTATCCAGTACTGTTTTATTTATTCATTTCTTCAATGACCCAGCTATTATTTGAGTGTCTCCTCCAAAACTCACATTGAAATTTAATTGTCATTTCATTGCCTACATGGGTGGGATGTATGCCTCTATAGACAGTTGAGTTCAGCCTTCTTCTCTCTTGCCTCTTCTGCCCCTTGCGACGTGAGTATCCAACCTTCCTCTCCTCTGGAAGACTTCATATGCAAGGCACCATCTGGGAATCACAATCACCAAACCTGCAGCTGCCTTGACCTTAGACTTCCCACTTCCAGAACTGTGAGCCAATACATTCTTCATACATTACCCAGTCTCAGGTAGTCTATATAGTGAAAAAAAATGGACTAAGGGAGACCACTTTAAAAATATCTGAGTGCCTGATGTGTGCTAATTACTGTTTCAGGAGATATACTGATAAGTAAACAGGTAGTATAGCTGTGTAGGGTAAATGCAAAATAAAACAAGAAAGCATTGATAGTTCTGTGGGACAGTTCTAAGAAATTTTCTACTGGAAGTGAAGTCTGAAATGAGGGAGAAGAATAAATACAACTTACCAGGAGATGAATGGGAAAAGAAAGATAGTGGCCTGAGGCCTCAGAGAAAAGAGAGTAGCACTTCTCAGGCCTGTGAAGAAAAAGAACTTTGTACACCCCTAAGTCTGTATACAGGAGGTCAACATGGCTGGAGCAGAGAGTATAAGGTGGGGGAAAGGGAGTTGGAGCTGGAAGAGGAAAGCAGGAGCCAAGTTGTGAAGGGCCTTGTGTTTCCTACAAGGTTTGGATTTGATTGATCATGATGATATAATGGTAACTCAGACAGCTGTGATCTCTTGTCTGTGAAAACCTACAGCCTGGTGACATTGACTGGACATGGTCAGATTTGCACTTTAGAAAGATCACTCTTCATCTCTGTAGAGAATGTGCTGGATGAGGAAATGAGAAGGTCAGAAGCAGAGAGACCAGTCCTGCTCATGGACATATTCCCAACAGCTAACACAGGGTCTGGTGTATAGTAAATGTTCAATAAATACAAACATGTGGTGGAGTGGAGGTCAAAGATAACTCCTGTTTGTTAGCTCTGTAGTACACCCATCAGTTGCATTCAAAGAAGCCAACCATAAGTTTCTAATAAACACTCAGTCTGTAAGGTTAAATCTTTGCATGTTGTCTTAAATCTGTAGGCTAGTTATTTTCTGTTTCCAAAGCCTATTAATAGATGTTCCCTTAGGGACCTATAAGAAAAATAACTAACCTCACACACTATTAATCAAACTCACTTTTGTTCACTTTGTCAATATGTACTGAAATTACTGATTTATTATTTTATTACCCTATTTGAAATGTCCTATACAAAATCCATAGATCTACTTTAAAGCCTTTTGCAAACAGCCAGAGTGATCTTTGGGAAAAGCACATGATTTGGAGGCATAAAACCCAGGTTCTACTTCTAGTTCTGCTTCTTACTGGTTCTATGATCACAAATAAATTATCCACCTTTCTGAACATAAATTTTCTTACTGGCAAATCGAATATAACAATACCTAATTCATGTGGTTGCAAAGATTAAATGAGATCATATACATACACATTATTTTGTAAAATCTATGGAATTATACCACCAAAAGTTTCCTAGAACTGATAAATACTTCAGTAACGTTTCAGGATACAAAATCAATGTACAAAACTCAGTAACATTTCTATACACCAATGAAGTTCAAGCTAAGAGGCAAATCAAGAACACAACTCATTTACAATAGCCACAAAAAAATAAAATACCTAGGACGACATCTAACCAAGGAGGTGGAAGATCTCAACAAGGAGAACTACAAAACACTGCTGAAAGGAATTATTGATGACACAAATAAATGGAAAAACACTCCATGTTCATCAATCAGAAGACTCAAGATCATTAAAGTGGCAATACTGCTCAAAGCAATCTACAGAATCAATGCAATTCTTATCAAACTACCAACATCATTCTTCACAGAATTAGGGAACAAAACTATTCTCAATTTCATATAGACTCAAAAAAGAGCCTGAATAGCCAAAGCAATCCTAAGCAAAAGGAAGAAATCCACAGCCATCACATTACCCAACTTCAAACTATACTATAAGGCTTCAGTAACCAAAACAGCATGATACTGGTACAGAAACAGATACATAGACCAATGGAAGAGAACAGAGAACCCAGAAATAAAGTTGTTCACTTATACCCATCTGATCCTTGACAAAGTTGACAAAAATAAGCATTGGGGAAAGGACTTACTATTCAATAAATGGTGCTGGGTTAACTCGCTAGCCATATGCAGAAGAAAATGGATCCCCACCTTTTACCATATATAAAAATTAACTCAAGATGTATTTAAGATTTACATGTGAGATGTAAAACTATAAAAATCTTACAAGAAAACCTAGGAAATACCGTTCTGGACATTGGCCTAGAAGAAGAATTTATGACTGAGTCCTCAAAAATGATTGCAACAAAAACAAAAATTGACAAGTAGGACCTAATTAAACTAAAGAGCTTCTGCACGGCAAAAGAAACTATATATATAAAAAAAAGAGTAAACACACAACCTACAGAAAGGGAGAAAATATTCACAAACTATACACCCAATAAAAGTCCAATTTTCAGAGTCTATGAGGAACTCAAACAATTCAACAAGCAAAAAACAAATAATCCCATTAAAAAGTGGGCAAAGGACATGAAAAGGCACTTCTCAAAAGAAGACATATAAGTGGTCAACATAGGAAAAAATGCTCAATATCACTAATCAGAGAAATGCAAATCAAAACCAATCTCACATAAGTCAAAATGGCTACTTTTTTTCAGAACAGGGGACTTTATTGATGGTACACAACACAGTATGATTCCCTGGGCCCCTCTCTCTTTAGAAGGTATGACATGGAAACTGTGGCAAGGGAGAGTCTCAGTGTGGTGCGGGACTGAGGGCCTCTCTCTTCCTCTGGAGATCTTTCTGGGGCTGGTGGCCTGGAGGTTCTTATTCCTTGGAGGTCATGTAGGCCATGAGTTTCACCACCCTGTTGCTATAGCCAAAATCATGGTCATACCAGGAAATGAGCTTGGTATAGTGGTTTTCAAAGGCGATGCTGGCCCCAGCATGGAAGATGGAAGAGTGGGTGTCATTGTTAAAGTTGAAGAAGACAACCTGGTGCTAAGTGTAGCCCAGGATGCTCTTGAGGGGGCCCTCTGATGCCTGCTTCACCTTCTTGATGTAATCATATTTGAAAGCTTTCTCCAGACAGCAAGTCAGATCCATGACTGACACATTGGTGATAGGGACATGGAAGGCCATGCCAGTGAGATTCCCATTCTGCTCAGGGATGACTTTGCACAGCCTTGGCAGGGCCACTAGATGCAGGGATGATGTTCTGGAGACCCCCAAGGCCATCACGCCAGTTTCCCAGAGGGTCCATCCATAGTCTTCTGGGTGTGGCAGTGTGGCAGTGAAGGCCATGGACTGTGGTCATGAGTCCCTCCATAATGCCAAAGTTGTCATGGATGACCTTGGCCAGGGAGGCTAAGCAGTTGGTAGTGTAGGAGGCATTGCTGACAATCTTGAGGCTGTTTTTGTATTTCTTATGGTTCATGCCCATCACAAATATGGGGGCATCAGCAGAAGGGCCAGAGATGATGACTGTTTTGATTCTCCCCTCTAAGTGAGCTCCAGCCTTCTCCATGGTAGTGAAGATAATGGGTAGACTCTACAACATAATCACTATTGGCATCACCCAGTTTGATTTTGGTGGGATCTCACTACTGGAAGATGGTAATGGGATTTCCATTGATGACAAGCTTCGCATTCTCAGCCTTGATGGTGCTGTGGAACTCGTCATGGGTGGAATCATATTAGAACATGTAAATACCATGTGGTTGAGGTCAATGAAGTAGTCATTGATCATGACAAAATCTACTTTGCCAGAGTTAAAAGCAGCCCTAGAGACCTGGTGTCTAATACAGCCAAACTCATTTACTCCACCCTTCACTTTCTCCATAGCATCTCAGGGATGTGGCTGGCACTACACAAGATGTAGCTGTCTGTTGAATGGGAGAAGCAGAGAGCCAGAATGGCTGCTATTAACAATCAAAAAATAACATATGCCAGCAAGGCTGTGGAGAGAAGCGAAAACTTATACACTGTTGGTGGGAATATAAATCGGTTCAGCCATGTGGAAATTGGTGATTCTCAAAGTTTAGAGATTTCCCAAAGAACTTAAAACAGCACTACCATTTAACCTAGCAATCCCATTACTGGGTATATACGGAAAGGAAAATAAATTGTTCTATCAAAAAGATACATGTACTCGTATGTTCATCACAGCACTATTCACAATAGCAAAGACATGAAATTTACCTGGGTACCCATCAACAGTGGACTGGAAAAGGATAACGTGGTACACATATACCATAGAATACTACACAGCCATAAAAAGAACAAAATAATGTCTTTTGCAGCAACATCAATGCAGCTGGAGGCCATTATCTTAAACAAATTAACAGAGAAACAGAAAACCAAATGCCATTTGTTCTCACTTGTAAGTGGGAGCTAAACATTGGCACATAGACATAAAGATGGGAACAATACACACTGAGGATTTCTAGAGGATAGCGGGAGGAAAGAGGGGCAATGGCTGAAAAACTCTCTATTGGGTACTGTGCTCACTACCTGGGTGACAGGATCATGTGTACCCCAAACCTCAGCATCATGCAATATGTCCATGTAGCAAATCTGTACATGTACCTCTCAAATCTAAAATAAAAGTTGAAATTATTTTTAAAAATCTACAGAGCTATTAATATAAATACAGTGTCATTGAAGTTATTATAAAAATAATTAAGAAAATAATTATACATTATAATTAAAATGAGTATGCCCCCATTTCTTGACAAGTAGCTCTTCTCTCACTAGTATGGTTTACCTAGGATTATAGATTTACTTACATCCAGACTCTAAAGGGATGACTTAAAGGAATCACAGTAAGAAACAAGAATTGTGAATATGCCAGTTTCACACTCCTGGGGTCTAATTTGGTCTCCCTGCTTAGACCAAACCCGGAGGATGATTAAGAAGATATTCACCCAAGGAAAGAATGCAGCAACAGGTCCATAGAGAATATAAAAGGCTGTAGTTTGTGTAAAGGAATCATACTCTGGAAAACGCAAGGAAACTATGAGGATAAAGTCACTTGTTGAAATTTGAGGAGATTCTTCACTGTTAAATCTAGAATGATAGAAAAGTGAGAAGCCATTAACACTGGTGTGAGAAGGAGTCATATCTTGCTTATATAGTCCCCATGTACAAGTGGGTATTTATTAACGCTATATGCTGCAAATACAAACAAGGAATAGAGGTAAGCCATGATACTTTGGGGAAACACTATCCTTATCTCAAAAGGAAAATAACCCACAAAAACAAAAAGGAAGCTTCTTAGCCTAATTCTTCATCGATTTCTAGTTCATTTCTAATTCATAATAATTTACATTTTCATGGAATTTGCACATAATATTGCCAGAGCCATTATGTTTATTGCTACAAATGGATTGAATCTGTATAATTTATACTTTCTTTCCAGCATCTTTTATTCACTCCTCAGAGCATAACTGGCTAAGAAGAGTAGTCAAATGTTCCTGGAGAAGCTGTTTGCTATTCCTTAGCACTTTCCTGAGAAATGTATATGCCTCCTAGTCCCCAATTACATATAAATATATTATGTCAAATATATATATACATATATTCACTATGTAGTGCTATTTTCCATAATTAATATACCTTAGTCCACCTCTGAAGAGAAACATTTACTAATTCATCCCTTAGGAAGGCATATTTCTAGCTGAAGAAAGCCTACACTTAACCACCATTGCATGTAAAGTTCTAAGCACAAGGCCTGGCACCGAGAAAACCCTCAATAAAAGTAAACTATTATTATTGCTGTTGTTTAATTGTACCCTTCTTAAAGTGTGAAGTAGAAATTTGTGCATGGCAAGAGTATGCCCTTCCTTTCCCAAGCACCTCATTAAAAATCACCTTATTAACATTTTGCTATCTGCCCAGGTGCTGCAGGCCTGCAACTTCCCACATAATCAGGGGACAAAATTTTATTCTGAAAAAAAATTCCTTTGTGTGATGCACTATTTTCTTTTTTTTTTTTTTTTTTTTTTTTTTTTTTTTTTTTTTGAGATGGAGTCTCGCTCTGTCGCCCAGGCTGGAGTGCAGTGGCGCGATCTGGGCTCACTGCAAGCTCCGCCTCCCGGGTTCAGGCCATTCTCCTGCCTCAGCCTCCCGAGTAGCTGGGACTACAGGTGCCCGCCACCACGCCCGGCTAATTTTTTTTTGCATTTTTAGTAGAGACGGGGTTTCACTGTGTTAGCCAGGATGGTCTCGGTCTCCTGACCTCGTGATCTGCCTGCCTCGGCCTCCCAAAGTGCTGGGATTGTTGTTGTCCTTTTGTAAAGAATACTGTAATAAGCATATTACTGCAAAAAGGCTTATTCTCTATTTGGGAGTATTTCCTTGGTTCAAGTCCTCACAGTTAATTTTTAATCTGACTTATCTCCTTGTTTCTATATTTAATTGCCTATTGAACTCCTCCATTCTAAAATTAACATGGTTGAAGCAGAGCAGTACTGAGGGTGAGACCATCCCTTGCCTCAGTCTAGGCACATTAAAGTATTTTCTGCTTCAAGAGAGACCAATCTTAAAGCATGAGCCAGGGAATTGCTGACAGGGGAAAGTGACAAGGATTGATGGGAGTGGGAAGTTGGTGGGGGAGGGAGAAATGGTAGCCCTCATCTTGTCCTTTAAAATCTGGGCCTATAGATCTTTGCTATGTAAACTTCGACACCAGTCAGAGCATGTAACACTTCACTCTATTTCAAAATGTATTAGCTCCTTTATTACCTTGTCAATCCTCAGAATAGTCCTGGTTCTGGACTATAATAACTTCTAATATCAATCCCATTTTACTGAGACTCAGAAACAGCTTGTCCAAAGCCAGATAAATAATAAAGTTGTACTCAAATCCAGATCTGTTCACTGAGTTTGTAACATTTCTACCTCACAGTGATGTTTCCTCTCCAGTAGTTGTGTCGGGGTGGAAGAGAAAATAAACCAGGCTACTAGATCTTTTATTCTTTGTGAATGTGTTCAAGGGGCAATGATGACAGGCATCAATCTGTAATTCTAACAAACACAGTTTAAAATCCCACATGGACTATCTCACACATTGATCCACCTGAGACCCCCCAGTTTGAGTGATGATAGAAGCAGATGGAAATTTGCAGTAGTTATGGGAGATTATATATGTTCTGGGAGCTCAGAAGGTCTAAGCACTTCACTATCTATAATTGAAAATGTACTGGAGCAAATGGAAGCTTGTGATCCCACATATATTTTATCAGATGCTTTGGACATTAAAGGAATTCTTGGGAAAATTATAAATTGGAATGCCAGTCACGTAGCTTTAACAGAAAAAAAATCATACTTAGTCTTTGGAAAGAAAAGAATAAATTGGCCATAAAATAATTCATAATAGACTTGCAGCTAGAATTGGTTATGAGAGAGTAATATGGTATAAAAGATAAGAAATAGAATTTCAAAAATGCATGGGAGCCATTGCTAATTCTTTATACAGGAGCAAGAAGAATTGTATGGTGACAGTTAATTATTCTGAATGGAATGCAAAAGAAAGACAAAAGTAAGCATTAAGAGTATAACATAAGTCACATGAGGGAGAAATGGAGGAAATACATTTTTCTTTATCTCCAATTCTATAGGAAGGAAATTCCACTCAAAGGAAAACCAACAAATTGCTTTCACAATAAAAAGTACTTGCAAACATAAATAAGTGCCTCCATTTTCTCATTTCATAAAGAGAGGGACTCTTACACAAAGAACTTGAGAGCCAATTTTAGTAAAAGGTAGAGGTATATTATTTAATTAAATACTGTAAAGGTACTTTCAGACAAAACGGTGGCAAGGGCTGTCCTTACCCCAAAATTCCCAATAAAATGTCCAACAAAGTGTATAAACAGAGTCTACAAATTAGAAATCAGCAATGGGTTCCTGACAGAATAGACAAAATGGACCAGATTAATGGAAACCATTAAAGAACGACCTGAGATGAATTACTGAGAAAGAATAGCATACCTGGAAAGCAAATGGGAGAAAGCCCCAGCGTGAAGGGTAAGAGCTTCAGAACAAGAGTTGGCTGTGTTGCTGGTGGGAAATGTAACACGTGAAACATTTGTGGACCAGCAGCAATGGGCACAATACTGAAGACCACTATAGAGATTTGCACTGGGTGAAAATGTGTAAAACAAATAGAGATGTGGGTTTTGCATGGGGTATGGTATGTGTGCATGCATGTGTTACAGAGAAGACTTCCATGGGGTTCCACCTTATAACAATAGTAAATAAAAGAAAGTCCAATCTTTAGGGCTGATAATCTGCTTCTTCCCTCCTCTTTGTTCTTTTTTCCAATCTGCACCTAAATTTCCATCCATAAAAAATTCAGACAGGAACACACAGGCTCTCTAATGGAACCACCTGAGTTCTATCCCCAATAGGGGTAAGAATATATTAGCACAAGGGAGCTATGAAAAAAAAATTCCACTGTTCAAAGAAAAGAGGAAATTGGCAGGTATGTTTCTTTTCTTATGCTGTCTTCATCAGGTTTTTGTGTCAGAGTTATCTTATAAAATGAATTGGAGAACTTACACCTTTTTCCATGAGCAAGAACAGTATAACTATAGTAGCATAGGAATGACCCATTTAAAAGGTTGGCTAAAAACTCAGTTATAAGAAAGTCTATACCCAGTGCTATTATAGGGGAGAACTCTTGGACAATCTTTGCCAATTTTCCTTCTTTTTAAAGTTATTTAAATTTCTTTTTAAGTTATTTTTTCTTTTCGATTTATTGCATCAAATTTGTGTGGGACTTCCCTCAAAAATAGAGACAGTAACAGCCCTGTTTTAAACCTTTTATTCTGAAATTGACAGTCACTTTTGGAGGCCCCACCCCATATCACATCACACATTAATTCTGAGTGGGGGGTAGTAAAATAACGGGCAGAAAAGATTTTTTAAAGTTTTTCTTAATTTTATTGTAATTTTAAATATATAGATTTTTAGGTTGGTGTAAAAGTAATTGCAGTTTTCACCATTACTTTTACTTTTGCACCAACCCAATACATGATTCCAAACTCAAAAGATTCAAAAATGTATAAAGTCCTCACTTGATATTGTTGATAGGTTCTTGGAAATTGTGACTTTAAGCAAAATAACAAAAAATGAAACCAGTTTTTTTTCTCATCAATGTTATAATGAAATAGGTTGAACAAAATGACAATATTCGAGAACCTGTTATGCATCATTTTGCTTAAAGTCACAGTTTCCAAGAACCATCTACAATGTTAAGGGAGGACTTACTGTACACAAAAAGTCCCACATTTTTGTCCACAAGCTACTTGGTTCCATTACCAAGACACGATTTATTGTATATTCTGAAATGATTTGTAAAGATTTATCTTTTGACATTAATAATTACAGCTTCTAATTAATAGTTGATGTTTCTAGCTTACTTCTCATTCTTTTTATTTTCAAGTGTATGTATTTCCATGCTTACAGTCCTTTGGGATGCCACAGGCTCTGGGTCTAATCACTGTGCTTGTAGTGCCCAATTGGCAACAGGGTCCTAGAGTAGATTTTTTTCTAACAACTCTGCATTCCATTTGCACCCCTCCCCAGTGACTCCCACCAGCAGCGACACCACCACTATGCCCTCTCTGTGCCCCGGGCAGACAATGAGCCAGAAAAATCTGTGACTTGGATTTTTAAAAAAATCTCAAGGACCATTTCTTAAAGAATGGTACTTCAAATCTTCTGTTCTTGGTCAAAGTCTTATCACGTCCACTCCCCCATTTCCAGAGACAATGTTGGAAGATCATAGAAATTGACATTTGGGATTGTGTGAGGTTAAACAGGTTTATAAGATTTACAGTACTTACATTCTTCCCAGAGTAAGCACCAGGTAACTATCCCAGAGCTCTCTTGCAAAGCATTTTACTTCAAGTTAAAATTTCTAAGAACCTATCAACAATGTCAAATGAGGACTTACTTTATACGTTTTTTAATCTTTTGAGTTTGAAATCATGTATTAGGTTGGTGCAAAAGTAAAAGTAATGGAGATATATATATATATCTCCATATCTATCTATCTATAGTTATATCTATCTATCTATCCATCTATATCTATATATCTATCTATATCTATCTATAGATATAGATATAGATATAGATATCTCCATTACTTTTACTTTTGCACCAACCTAATACATGATTCCAAACTCAAAAGGTTAAAAAGTGTATAAAGTAAGTCCTCACTTGACATTGTTGATAGGTTCTTAGAAATTTTAACTTAAAGCAAAATGCTTTGCAAGAGAGCTCTGGGATGGTTACCTGGTGCTTACTCTGGGAAGAATGTAAGTACTGTAAAAAAAAAAAAAAAATATATATATATATATATATATAAAAATATATATATATAATATATATTAAAAAATATATATATAAAAATCTCTCTCTCTCTCTCTCTCTCTATAGAGAGAGAGAGAGAGAGAGGGAGGTACCCCTAAGTATGTGGTATGTTTGGAATTACACCCAACAAGATCTTAAAAGTGATAATCCCTGGATCACAGAATTATGGATGTATTTTTTCCTTAATTCTACATTCTAGTTTTTCCATAGTAAAAATGAATAACTTGTGTTTAAAAATGAATTAAGAGAAAAATGTGTTCATGCTTTAAACTAAAAATTATACTGTAAGAGATTTATTCAGAGGTAGTAATTAATAGGGACCACAAAAGCTGGGATATGGGGATGTTTATCACAATATTTGTCTTTTTTAGTTTTAATTGAAAACTACTTCAACACAAAAAATTCTACCCAGAGTACCTAGATACCAGTCACCTGTGCATAGATAACAATTACCTATAGACCCCTGCACCCAGGTTAATCATGTATCAAGATTTTGCCATTTTTGCTTCAGATCTTTCTATAAAAAATAAAATATTACATTCAAAATCAACACTTAATCATCCAAATTCCCTGCCTCCTCAGTGTTAACAATCCTCATGAAGTTGCTAAGTAGCCTTCCCATTCATGTTTTTGTACCTTTTTTAATAGGCATACATCTCTTCAACAGTACATAGTATTTGGGGGCAATTATAAAATTTACATGAATCATGTCTTTCTGTATGACTGTACCATAAGTTCCTTTTTAATAAAGCATTGTTTCAATATTTATCCACATTGATGTATATAAATTTATTTTGATTGATGTTACTCTATTAATGTATCATAATGTATTTATCTATTATTTTATTAGTGCACAGTTTAAATTACTTAACAGTTTTTCATTATTAAAATGATCACCGAAAGACATCCTTGTACATGTCTCTGCACATATGCCAAAGCTTATCTCCGTATATACCTAGATGGAGAATTGCTAATCCCCAGGGAGATACATCAACTTTCTAGACATTGCTAAATTACTCTGCAAAGTTAGTGAAGCAATTTATACTCCCACCACCTACATATGGGAGTTCCTGCTTCCCCATATGTTCATCAATAATTGATTTCACCTTTTTTTTTCTGGCCAGGCATATGGGCATAAAATGGTAACCCATTTTATTTCTCTTCTTCAATAGCTAAAATGTTATTTATAGTTTCATATAGTTTTTGACCATTTGGGTCTCATTATTTGTACAGTTCCTGCATATATCCTTTGCATATTTTTCTACTGGGTTATGTTATCTCTCTTTTAAATATGTAAAACTTTTTATATATTCTGGTTACTAATTATTTGTCAGTTATAGGCATGAAAGTGTTCTTCCAGTCTTGACTTGACTTTTCATTTTGCTTATTTTTTTATATAGAATGTTTTCATTTTAGTCAAATATACCTATGTCTTTCTTGATAGTTGTGCTTTTGGTATCTTAAGAAATTATCCAATATCCTGCCATCATTTGTTTTTCCTGTGTCTGAAGATAACTTTACAGAAGCCACTGCTCCCCTGCTCCCTCTGCCAGTGGACTGAGTTGGAGAAACCACTCTGCCCAGTGCAGTGTCTACTATATCTGATTCTGAAGACATCAAGGCTCTCGGGTAGTACAGCTCTCTCCTCCTTCATTTATAAAGTATCTCCTCAGAGAGTCTTAGTTATTATATGGCATTTTGTGACTTTAAAAAATTTCATAATTATCAAATACTAAGACTTTTGGAGTGGTACAAGAAAAGCAGTTGAGGATCAAGAGGCCTGTACTCAGACACCACTCTTATGACAGCAGAAACCATGGCACAAAATACAATATTTTTATTAGTATAATATCCAGCCATAAAAAAGGATGAGTTCATGTCCTTTGCAGGGACATGGATGACACTGGAAACCATCATTCTCAGCAAACTAACACAAGAACGGAAAACCAAACACCACATGTTCTCACTCATAAGTGGTAGTTGAACAATGAGAACACATGGACACAGGGAGGGGAGCATCACACACCAGGGCCTGTCGGGGGTGGGGGACTAGGGAAGAGCTAACATTAGGAGATGTTATGTAGCTAATGTAGATGAGGGGTTGATGGGTGCAGCAAACCACCACGGCACATGTATACCTATGTAGCAAACCTGCACGTTCTGCACATGTATGCCAGAACTTAAAGTATAATAAAAAATAATAAAAATAATAAAAATATCCACCAACTATAACTCCCTCACAAAACATGTAATGCAAACTTTAAATTCAAGCATGCTTATAGAAGTTCAAATAGTTTTACATTTACCTAGAACTATTAATATTCTTATTTAACAAATACACATGAATAGTTGACATTTATGTAGAGACGAAATAACGTTCTTGTAGGAACAAAGAAGTTTCAGCATTCTGAAAACGTCGATTTTTTTCTTTCAAGTGTAACTTTAAATAAGAAACATAAAATTATACCAACAATATTATAAGGATGAAAAACAGTAAAAGCCAAAATCGAACAATCTCCAGATATTCTGCCCCTTGAGAAAATGTATACAAGAAAAACTTTAGGTGACAAGTACCGCCAACGGCTCTTAGAATTAACTTCTGCATTATCAGGACTCTTCTGCAATCACTACTAAAATGCAGTATTCATTGTATGATCTCATATGTAGAGTATAAAAAAAGTCAAACTCATAGAAATAGAGAATAAAATGGTGGTTACCAGAGATCTAGTCAAAAGACTAAAATTGTCAATTACATATGAGGAATTATTTCAAGGGTGCTATTGTACAACATGGTGACTAAAGTTAATAACGATATATTTGAAAATTGCTAGGAGAATAGATTTAAAGTGTTCTTACTGCAAAAAATAAGTAATTCAGATAATGCATATGTTAAATAGCTTTATTTAGCCATTCCACAATGTATACATATAACAAAACATCATGTTATACACCATAAATAGATATAATTTTACTTGTCAATTAAAAATAAATAAATGCATACATATATAAAATGCAGTAGTCATAAGGGGGAGAAAGGCATTGAAAATACATAAAATTCCTGAATCAGAAACAACCACGAAGTCTCTTTGCAGTCAAAGTGTTGATAATTACATTTAGAATGACCATGAGAGGGGTATTTTCATAGTGAAGAAAATATATATGTCCTATCATGCCTGGAACAGAGTAAATATGTAACAAATGAAAATTTTCATTATTTTTAAAATTATTACAGTCAACAAGGAAAAACAGAACCAAATCTGAGGGAACAGAGGGCAAATTATTATACCAATTCTGCAAACAACAGCATTATTTCCTCTGACATAGACTGCACAACAAATGAAGACTCTAAAACAGATTCTAGTTTCAGCGAATGTATGAATAATGATGTTGATGTCACTCTAAGATAGAGACAAGTGAAAAATATAAAAGATAAGAAGAGTAAAAGAATGATGAGACCTTTCCTAAATCCAAATTTAATATTGTGACTTTAACCAGTCATTTAACTCTATTCTGACAACTGTCACAATAAGAGTTCTGTCCATTCTAAAGGTAGAGCATAAAGCTGCATACACGTTTAGTCTTTAGTTGCAATTCAGAGGACCCCGTGCACTCCACCTTCGGTGTAAAGAAGCAGATGGCTTCTTTAATTTAGTTTCCTAATTATACATTCTGTCCTCAAGTGTATAATCTGTCCTGTTTATCAAGAGTTAAACCTCTGCATCCAAGTGTTCCTTCCAACTAAGAGAATGAAAAGGAAATCTTCTCTCATTAAGGAAATTACAGGTTTTGAAATACGTTGATGTTTGAACAGAATATTGTAACATAATACAGTTGTTTAACATTTTATGTAAAAGTTTCTAAATTATTCTGTAATTACCTTGTTTAAAAATTAAGAGACAATGATGAGATTTGTAGAAGTATTTCCTAATTTCCTTTCCTAAGTCATACAAATTTTCTCATTTTCCACCAATGATATCACAAATACATCTTTCTAAATACCACATCGGTTTAACTTACAAGAAATCCTTTCACATAGTCATGGCAATCCTAAGCTATACTTCCATATTTGAGCTAAGTTTTAACTTTCTCAAGTCGTTATCAAACTAATGATAAAGAATTTATGTGGAAAAGTAAAAGTTACTCTTTTTATTTTTATTTTCACAGAACCTTATAATCTTTTGTAACACAAAATAGATGTGGGAAATACTGAAGCTTCCAATATGCTGCTAGATCTCCCCTTACTATGTAATACACACACAATTACTAAGTAGAAAACACATTCTGATCTGTAACTGTTCTAGAAATACAAAATAAATCTGAGTTCCTATTACAAAGAACATCAGACTGGTTAAAATATGAAAAACCTATTAGGTGAAACTTATAATTGTCCTTAAAGAGCCCTAAATATTTGAAAAGTGTCCTAGAAACAGAAGGGAATGGGAAACACAAGGATGATGAAAAAGTTGATCTCTTGGAATCAAATGACATTAAATAAACATTTACTCTCTGAGATTCACAGATTCAAAATTGGATTAGGCACAGAATCTGGCCTCAATGAGTTCACATATAATATGTAACGTAAGAGCAATACTTATACATTGTATAAGGTATTGTCCAAAGTGCCATACAACCTCCGACTCCTGGGTTCAAGTGATTCTCCTGCCTTGGCCTCCTGAATAGCTGGGATTACAGGCGTGTGCCACCACGACTGGCTAATTATTGTATTTGTAGTAGATTCGGGGTTTCACCATATTAGTCAGCCTGGTCTTGAACTCCTGACCTCGTGATCCACCCGCCTTGGCCTCCCAAAGTGCTGGGATTACAGGCCTGAGCCACCGCGCCCGGCCTTTTTTTTTTTTTTTTTTTTAACCAACCAGGGGCTTCTGCTAGCAGTTTTCTGCAAGGCTCCTCCCGTCCTGGAGAACTGCCTGGGAGAACATTTCCAGGCAAGGCCTCTGCGACACTCAGTCGGCCTTGCGTATTTCCAGTTTCCAAACTTTTTCTTGAATGCATTTCTCTCTTCAATCTCCCCTTGGTCATGACACTTTGAAGCATCGCTGGCTACCTGAGTTCATCCTTGCCAAAGACTTAGATTCTGGCCCCTCTTCACCCAACACCTCAGAGCTACCTGCTATTCTCACTCATTCCTGACTTGGGTGGATCCTGGAACTCCAGCTGGCCCTGAGCCTGGGCACTCTCTTGCTCCTGCTGGGAAGTCAGGGAATCTTTCAATGAACTCAAGTTAATGTAATAAAGTTTAGAAAGATGCAGGAACACCTAAATTGATCCCACAAGGACATTAAGTTGTCAAGTGCTTAAGCAACTGAAAATTATGACAATGATGATAGCCATCTTTTTTCCTTAGGTACTCTATCCCTACATACAGGTGAAGAAACAGGTTCACATGGGTTAATAACTTGCTTGAGTTCACACAGTTTGTAAATGTGAGGAACATAGCTGATATTTGATCCCAAGTTGTTGAGCTCCAAGGCTGTGCTCCATGTAAGAGTATATAGTTTTATTTTTATTTTATTTTATTTTTCTTCTGTCTAGAGATTTTTATATTTTATATATATATAGGCTTATATGTACATATATTTTCATCTTTTATATTTAACATATAATTTTTTTATTATACTTTAAGTTCTGGAGTACATATGCAGAACATGCAGGTTTGTTACACGTGCCATGATGGTTTGCTGCACCCATCGACCCATCATCTAAATTAGGTATTTCTCCTAATGTTATCCCTCCTCTAAGCCCCCACCCCCTGACAAGCCCTGGTGTGTGATGCTCCCCTCCCTGTGTCCATGTGTTCTCATTGTTCAACTCCCACTTATGAGTGAGAACATGTAGTGTTTGGTTTTCTGTTCTTGTGTTAGTTTGCTGAGAATGATGGTTTCCAGCATCATCCATGTCCCTGCAAAGGACAAGAACTCATCCTTTGGGAGAAAATATTTGCAACCTATCCATCTGACAAAGGGCTAATATCCAGAATCTACAACAAACTTAAACAGATTTACAAGAAAAAAACAAACAACCCCATCAAAAAGTTGGTGAAGGATATGAACAGACACCTCAAAAGAAGACATTTATGCAGCCAACAAACATATGGAATAAAGGTCATCATCACTGGTCATTAGAGAAATGCAAATCAAAACTACAATGAGATACCATCTCACACCAGTTAGAGTGGTGATCATTAAGAAGTCAGGAAACAACAAATGCTAGAGAGGATGTGGAGAAACAGGAATGCTTTTACACTGTTGGTGGGAGTGTAAATTAGTGTAAATTAGTTCAACCATTGTGGAAGACAGTGTGGCGATTCCTCAAGGATCTAGAACTAGAAATACCATTTGATCCAGCAATCCCATTACTGGGTATACACCCAAAGGATTATAAATCATTCTATGATAAAGACACATGCACACATATATTTATTGTGGCACTGTTCACAATAGCAAAGACTTGGAACCAACCCAAATGCCCATCAGTGAAAGACTAGATAAAGAAAATCTGTCACATATACACTATGGAATACTATGCTGCCATATTTATTTATTTTTGAGATGGAGTCTCACTCACTCTGTTGCCCAGGCTGGAGTGCAGTGGTGCAATCTCAGCTCAGTGCAGCCTCCGCCTCCAAAGTTCAAGTGATTCGCATTCCACATCCTCCTGAGTAGCTAGGACTACAGGTGCGTCACCTCGCCCAGCTAATATTTTTCTTTTTCTTTTTTCTTTTTTTTGTATTTTTAGTAGAGACAGTGTTTCACCATGTTGGCCAGGTTTGTCTCAAACTCCTGACCTCAAGCAATCCACCTGCCGCCTCGGCCTTCCAAAGTGTTGGGATTACAGGTGTGAGCCACTGTGCCAGGCACATTTCATTTTTAATAACAGTATCTGCAATGCTGACAGGATTGAATCAAGATGGCAAATACTATAATGGAGGAGCTGGAGGCCACTGCCACTTAATAATTGCTGACATTAAATGTTTACTATATACCAGGAACTGGGCTATACATTTTATAGAAACCATCTCATTTAAACCTCAGAAATAACCCTATGGGATATACAATGTTCTTATCTTCATTTTAAAAAGGAAAAGAAACAGCTATGGCCAAGAGAAGTTTAGCAGGCCCCACAGCTATTAACCAGTAGAGTTAAAGTACCTTGAGTCCAGAGCCCATGTCACCAGTCATCATACCTAACCATTCTATCAGCCATTCTGACCATTTGTCAACTTGACAGATGTGGGGGTTTGTTCCATTCCTCCTTGCTTAGATGGCATCTCTCCCCTCCTTACCATTCTTGCAGCTTCCAACTCAAGCTACAATATCAATCCTTGCTGACACAGTAATCTTAAAAATAAGTGCAACTAGTGAAACAGGATCCCAAAGCAAACTCTGAATTATACCTTCTTTACTCGTTTTCTGCAATGGCTACCAATGTCCACTAAAGATATATATCTCTGTCTCATAATCCCAGGATGCAATAATCTCATCCAAACCCAGAGGAGATATGTGTGTTGTGTGTTTAAAAGGTAAGAACTGGGTAACTCTACATTAGGAAAACTGGATTTATTTGATCAGTACAATGATATGTTGTGCTATTGTTTAAATAAGTGTTACCCAAACTGTACTCCTTTGACCTCCTTGCTTTAGAGTTATTTGGAATGGTTTTTAAATGCAGATCTGTAGGCCTCCCTCAGCCTGCCTCCAAAAATTCTGGAAGGGGTATGGAACTCAGTAATTTTTATTTAGCAATTCACAAACTGCCCTAGTATTTTGGATATAGATGCACAACAGAACCCCTGGCCCCGTTGTGCTTGTTTCTATACTCTTCAGTATTGTATAACTTGGTTTTGCAACTGTTTGACAGATTAAAGATCAGGATTTATGTTACCTCAGAGCTTACAGAATAATTTATTACTCCAATCATTATCAGAATAGATTACTGATATTATAGGTACACCCAAATATTTCAAGAATTTTATGTACTCTATTGTCATGGAGGCCCAGTGTGCAATGATACACACAGAGCATGCCCCTAAAAGTAGCAAACAAAATTTAACTTGAGTAATTTTATGCATATTATGTCATACTGATCTTTAATTGCATTAGCCCAAGCACTGCAGAAAGATGCTAATCAGTATTTTGAGTACAAAGTGTTTTACACTCAACAAAAGCTTAGGAAACTGCTTTATTAAATCCTTCTCCTGAGGATTCACAGTCATACTAAATTTTTGAGATGCTCCAGTGTGAAAAAGAAACTTGTTAACTTTATATAGTATTTCACACACAAAAAAAACTTATTTGTGCAGAGGATAAGCTTTTTTTCCTTCTTTTCTGCACATTTCTTACCACCAATTTGCTTAGTTCTGAATTCATTTACTCGACAAATGTATGTTGTAAATGTATGCAACAACTATAAGCTAGGCAGTTATGTTAGATCTGAGGATAAAATGATGGCTAAACTAGACAGACTCTTCAACAGCCACATTCATTATCACTTGAAACTTGTCAAGTCACACAGGTTTCTCATAGCCCAAGGGGCTCTGATGCAATGCAATCAGCTATATTGCCTCAGTTCCACTACTGACCTTACTTTAGTTACAGCTTTCAAGAGGCTTCGAGAATCTCCAAACAAACCCAGAGCTGCTGCTGAGCTGGGCTTGACAAGCAGAAGAACTACCCAGGTGGCTGCATATCCAAGTTAGCCCTGTAACAAGTAGAGTATTATAGAATCTGTTTTGGCATACATAGTGCAGTGGCTGCTTCAAAACAGGCATTTGAACTGGTTGTTGAATCAAAATTTAACCTGCAAATTTTTGTGCTGGGCAGGAGTTTTTTCATACCATGAAATAATGCTAATTATTTGTAAGGCTATTTTGAACATCCACTAACAAATAATGCAGATAATTGAGGTATTTATTTGATAACGCAGGTGGACAATCCTTTGTAATTACACTTTTGTTGCTATTGGCTTATTTTCTCCTGAAATAAGGAGCACAAATGAGTTCACTGAAACAGCAGATCTTCCTTTTACCCATAATACTATTGCTTTGAGAATGACTGAAAGCATGGTACATAACGGACACATAAGAATTAATTTCAGAGTTTTATTTATTTTAATGGTCACACCAATGATACATACTCCTAATCCTATAACGCTATATATATCCTCATAGCTGTTATAATTTAGGTGATTATAATTTTGTATTTGCAAAAGATGCCTTCCAACATGGAAGATGCAGCTAACCATCCTACAGTACACAGAATTGTAACCTATAACGGTTTTATGATTGCAAAACATTAAACTCTGCCTTAGTTCCCTCCTATGGCAGAGGAGATAATACCAGAAATTTAGAAATTGAAATAGGTTCAAAAATTAGTGGTCAAAAGGCTCCTAGTCTTCAATGCACATAGCACAGTGCTATTGGAGATGTCCCACTGACACACAGAGGAAAATACCACTTCACTTTCACAGTCTCCTAATGCATAGGTTATTGTCCAAACTCTTCAATGTGGTTATCAGAGCACGCCACAATTTGTTCCCAATCTACTTACCTTAAACTGTTGCTTATAACCGACTTTTGTAATCCTCAGGAAGAATAACATGACTCACTTTGGTACCCTGTATTCTAGACATCAGCTGGATCCACCCTGCTCATCAACACAGTGACAGATATTGCTGCCAAATCTTGCACACATCCACATTACAACTACTAGCTTTCAATGCCTTGTGCTGTTCCTATTTTTATCTGACCAAATAACGGAATGCTTTGCTTTGGAATTTGGACAAAACTGACAAAATCAGACCTAGACTAAATCAAATATGTTTGTTTCTTTGGATATGTTTGTTTCTTCAAGGCTGCAGAATTATCCTTCATCTATTTAATCAAGAAATAGTTAGCAAATGCCTACTGTCTGCCAGATACTCTGCTAGGGAGTGTAGATGCAGCAGGGAAAATAAGACAACGTCTGGAATTAAAAGTACATTTTCTCAAACCATATGAGGTTCAATTCTGAATATGTAAGACAATGTGCAAAATTAAAATAGCTTCTTCGTTTTGAAGTTGTATGATCAATTTGGGTCATATAGGCCTATAACCTCTTCCAGGCTCACTCCCCAACCAGCCCAACAGCCACCTCTGCCACTATGGGGCTATTTATGGAATCCTAACTTTCAGCTGAAGAAGTTTCAAAAGGAATACTAAGTAGAAAATATGATGGAAAAAATAAAGTTCATTTGGGAGGTAGAATTAATAAAAAGTATTAAAATATAATTGAGTGACATAAGTCCCTTGTGTAAGAGAATGTAGTATGCAGGTTACATGCTATGGTTGAGATGCTCTCCCAAAAGAAAATTGTCAAAGATACCACTCTGGCAATGTGAAGTTTACCATTTAGCATACCAAAAAAAAATGCAAGTTGTGTTATGGCTTTATAACTTGAATTTGGGAAACTATCATCTGATTTAAAAGGAGAAAATAAGAGTGAGTAGGAAATTAACATTCTGTTATCAAAAATCTAGACTTCAATCTCTTGGCAGAAAATTTTACAATTTTTCTATTAATCATTTATTTACCTTTTAACATATGAGTTTCTTATTTGCCTGTATTTATTATTATCCATTGAATAAAATCTATCAGTCTTCTAAAATCTGTCACTCTTAGAGAGCATAGTATAACTAGATATGGAATATAAATGCAATATGTGCATGTTTATTTGCATACCAATAAACTGTAGCACTAAACAATTCATTTGGGGAGCTTGTTTGTGATAGCACTTTATGAGGTGGCTTTAAACAAAAGGTAGAAGAAACTGGAGCTATTTGTGTTTGTCTCAAGAGAATAAAAGCTTTTTCCTTGAGTTCTCTGATGCATGTAATGTTTGAGATTTACAGAAATAGCATCCTTCTCTCAAGAGAATAAAAACACCTCCAGGCAGAAAAATAACCCTGCAGCATGTAACTAGCAGGTAGTCTGTTTCATCAATTACTTAGATAAAAGATGCAGAAATTTGAGAAAAACAATTTTAAACTCCATTACAAAAGCACATATTTCCCTAACAGAGCTGATAGTCCATTCTGCTCCACCAAAAGAGAAGGCATAGAATTAATCAATTCAATTCTTTCTGTTTTGCCCCTCTGTCCTCCCCAGTTCCCTCTTTTACCCCATAGAAATTCTAAAGTTCCAAGGGAAGCTTTGCAATTAAGGATAGCTTTTCACAGCATCACTGGTCAGCTTGTCCTGCTGTCTACACTGCTGGAAATCTCACTGAATTCTCCAGGTATTCAGTAGCATTCTCTGACAGGAAAGGGGAGAAGGAAATCCTTCCTTGTTTCCAAGTTAAAGCTTCTTCATCATCAAAATCCTGAGTTTCCTTCTGCCCCTCTTTAACTCCTGCAGGTTGCCTTTCCCCCCACAGGACATCAGGGTCCTGAAATCCTGTTCAAGGGATGCTTTCCCCTCTAACAGCACTAGATTCTTAGCTGTTCCCTTCTTCCTGACCCTCTCTCTTCCTGTGGCTTCTCCATCACTTCTTGAGCCTGGTTTTCCTTGAGCACATCTGACTCTCCTTCTCAACTTGTCTTGCCTTCTTATCTTTGAAATGTTGGTGTTCCAGATGTTTCATCCTCAGTCCTCTTTTGTGTCCTATATTCTCTTCTAAGCTAGGTATTTTTAGGTAAGTCACTTACCCTCTCTGATACTCAGTTACACATATGTGGTAGGGGTGAAAGAGAGTGGACTGAATAGTTTCTAAAGTTTAATCCCATACTAAAATTCAGTGATAATAACTCAGAAGGAAGAAATGACAGTGGAGATAGAGAACTGCAAATCCTGAATGAAAATAGATGGGCTTGGGAGAATGGATCTTGGTAAGAATACCATGAGAGAACTGGATGCTGCAGCTCAGAACAGGATGCCCCAGTAACCCTGTGGATCCCACTCTCTTTGGGATACATTGAGATTCTCTAATAAATGCCAAGGGCAGTGTGAAACAGGGAAATAGTCACAAAAGGGAAACCAGAAAAGTGTCTGGATAAGGGGACAGATGTGAGGAATCCTTTTCCTTGCTTCCTAACTCAGAGAAAAGCAAGGTAGAAGCAACATACTCTAAGAGGAGAGTTACTGCTTACCTGGTTTTGCTCCAGGAAGCCCAAGCACAAGACATTTTACTCTGATATTCAATTAGAGCTCACCCAGGATTCAAAACAGTAGTCAAAGTACTCTTTTTTTTTTCAGACAGAGTTTCACAGTTGTTGCCCAGGCTGGAGTGCAATGGTGCACCATCTCGGCTCACCGCATACTCCGTGTCCCGGGTTCAAGCGATTCTCCCACCTCAGCCTCCCCAGTTGCTGGGTTTACAGGCATGCACCACCATGCCCAGCTAATTTTGTATTTTTAGTAGAGATGGGGTTTCTCCATGTTGGTCAGGCTGGTCTCAAACTCTCGATCTCAGGTGATCCGACCACCTTGGCCTCCCAAAGTGCTGGGATTACAGGCTGAGCCACCACACCTGGCCCATCCTTTGGTCATGGATTCTATTAGGACAACAAAAGGTTTTCTTAATAATTCCAGGTATTCTGGAACGAAAACTCTACACACATGGTTTATGGGTAACTTACATGTAAAAATGATTTTTTGATGCCTGGATCACAAAGTTATACACAAAAATTATAAAGAGTATTCATTTGGGAGCTGATATAAATGTCCAGCTCTTCCTCAGTAGGGACCTGGTAAGAGGTCACCAGGTGTGGCTCAAAGCTATAGCTCTGTCCTAGCTGGGTTCACCTTCTTTCACTGTATAAGTGTTGTTGATTCTTATCCGTGAATCTTACCCTGCCTACATGGGATGCCTATTCTTGTTTGGGAGCCCTTAGTGTTATCTTCCACCTTCTATCACTGCTCAAGAAGTTTGTTTGTGCCAATAAGTCTACAAAATGCCTGAAGTACATACTCATTACCCAGGTGTAATGGATCTGGCCTGTTCCACAAGACTCAGGTTCAGATAATGTCTTGTCATTTTCTCATATTTGTTTTAGAACAATGGTTCTCAACTGGGGAACCCCAGAAAACATTTGGCCATGTCAGGAGACCACTTTGTCACACTGAGGGGCTAGGGTGCTATTGGCATCTCACAGGTAGAGGCTAAAGATGCAGCTAACCATCCTGCAGTACACAGAGCAACCCCCACAGTAAAAAATTATATGACCCAAAATATCAAGTGTCAAGACTGAGAACCCTCAATTGAGACCCAACTCAGAGTGCTACCAGTCAAGATTGATGGGAACTCACCTAGGGACTCTCTCCCCTATCTCTCCCTCTCTTCTCTCTGGGGGTTTAAGAAGTCTGAAAAGACACATGTGGGACCCTGAGCTGGGCGTGAGGAGTTGTGCCTCTCAGCCTATTGTTACCTGATGTTGTTCCTGGTGGCCAGATGGTACCACTGATCTGACACACCAGGAATTTGTTCTTACCTCTCGTTTCCCCACAAGAGCCCCTGATTCTCATTAGAAATATCTTGATGTCTCAGGATCCAAGATTAACAGAAGGTTTTTTGCCTTTTCTGGAAGAAATGAAAGCCAGGGCTTTAGGCACACTATGCCTTCATTAAACTCTCAAGGGGGGAATCCACATGCCTTTCAATTCTTGCTGATAGGACCACAGCAGTGGAAACAAAGCACAAGGTAAGTTCCCAGTAGGTTCCCCTGCTCTGTATAAATTTGTAGTAACTTAGTCTGATTCTGGTAACGGCACCTCTCACTCTGCCTGCCTCCTTTTAGTCTGTGACTCTGCCTGTCTTCTCCTGAGCTGGGCCTTCAGGGTCCTGAATTCTGCCCCTAGAAAGACTGTACCCTAAAGGGTACTCATCTATACCCTCACAACTGGGCACGTCTATACCCTCACTATTGGGATGGGAGAGGGCAGGAAATTGCCACCCTTTAGACAAAAGAGTAACTCTCTGATAGGACCTCAGAGCTACAAATGGGTGCCACAGGGTGCTAAGCATGACTCCTCCTGTGGCCTATCTCCCATGTCTCATCCTCACCATCAGTAATGGTCTGAGATTTTCCTGTTTAACCATTTCATACTTGATGTGTGTAGATACCAAGTGATATGGTTTGGCTGTGTCCTCACCGAAATCTCATCTTGAATTGCAGCTTCCACAATTCCCATGTGTTGTGGGAGGGACCAGGTGGGAGGTAATTGGATCACAAGGGCAGGTCTTTCAGTGCTGTTCTCCTGACAGTGAATAACTCTCATGAGAGCTGATGGTTTTATAAAGGGAGTTTCCCTGCACAAGTCCTCTCTTGCCCACTGGCATGTAAGAAGTCCCTTTGCTCTTCCTTCATCTTCCACCATGATTGTGATGCCTCCCCAGCCATGTGGAACTGTGAGTCCATTAAACCTCTTTTTCCTTATAAATTACCCAGTCTCGTGTATGTCTTTATTATCCATGTGAGAACAGACTAATACAACAAGTCTTCATCACAATACTTATATCATGGAATTGTAATTATCTGTATACTCATTTGTTTTCCCACTGGGCCTAGAGCTCCTTGAGGAAAAAGACTGTTTTAGTTATTGCTACAAAGAAAGCACAAGACAGAGTGCTTGTGCATAAGAAGCACTTAGCATTACAGAATTAAAAATGCATTTAACTAAAATATTTTCCAGTGAAATATATGTAAAGATTTATAAAGGAAGGTATTAATAGGGTGAGACTAGCTATCCAGAATTTACAAGGTGATATTTTATTTTATTTTATTTATTTTTTATTTTTTAGTTCTTTGAGAAATCTTCAAACTGCTTACCATGGTGCCTGAACTAATTTACATTGCCACCAACACTGTGTGTGTGTGTGTGTGTGTGTGTGTGTGTGTGTGTGTTTATTATACTTTAAGTTTTAGGGTATATATGCAAAACGTGCAGGTTTGTTACATATGTATATATGTGCCATGTTCGTGTGCTGCACCCATTAACTCATCATTTAACATTGGGTATCTCTCCTAATGCTATCCCACCCCCCTCCCCTCACCCCACAACAGGCCCCGGTGTGTGATGTTCCCCTTCCTGTATCCATGTGTTCTCATTGTTCAATTCCCACCTATGAGTGAGAACATGCAGTGTTTGGTTTTTTGTCACAAGGTGATATTTTATATAAACCAGTTAAAATACCAATACACAGCTCTTCTGAAGCTTTTAGCACAATGGAATAAAAATCAGAAAGTTTTTTTCTTTTTTTTCTGTCATCTGGAAATTGTGGCAGCAAATAAATTCCTCTGTCTTATTTTTGGAAGACGCTGATAAAATTTCACGCATCATCATTTGAATTATTTATTTCACAAGGTTAGATGAAAAACTTACCTGCAAGTTAAATAGAAGAGACACCAGAGTGAGCTTTCACAGGCTTGCTGGCTTTCATAATCTCAAGAGAGAAATGACTAAAATCAAAGCGTTCTATGGACCTATAAGCAGCTTCTCTCCAATGCCCTCTGTAATCTAAAAGCTGACTGCTTTTAGAGATAGTTCTGAGTTATATAAATGATATTTCTATTGGTCTCGTTTAGCCCAAGGTCAGGTAACTAGTATGCATGTGTATTTCATTAAGAAGAATTCTGGTTTTGCACCATTGGATATACTTGACTCACAGGAAAGAGAAATGAATGAAGTAAAGTTTGCACTTACATTTTTTTCCTGGCTCTTAGGTCTTGTTACTAAACTGTTGAACCACCTGAATTAAGTCTATGGGAATAAGTTTGAAGTCTTTATAATAGCAAATTATAACCTATGTTTTAAGGTAGCTACTCTCCAGCTACCTTAAAAAGTGGCGTAAAATTATCAATACAATTTATTTTTATTTATTTTAAAAGATTGACCTCTATTATGAAAAAGAGGGACTCAGGTGTTGATGTGAGAATAATTATTATAGCCAATGTAGTTAATATTAATCTCAGATGTGCAAATAAGTAGACCATTATAATAATATTAACAACTTGACCTAAAATATACTTTGAATTTCCATTCCACCAAGATAGGATAAACTTAATCTCACATATTTTGGGGTTCTATACCTCAAAATAATAAAATCCATATATGACAAACCCACAGCCAACATTATACTGAATGGGGGAAAGCTGAAAGCATTCCTCCTAAGACCTGGAACAAGACAAGGATGCCCATTTTCACTGCTCCTATTCAACATAGTACTGGAAGTCCTAGCCAGAGCAATCAGGCAAGAGAAAGAAATAAAAGGCATCCAAATCGGAAAGGAGGAAGCCAACCAAATTACCTCTGTTTGCTAATGATATACCTAGAAAACCCTAGGGACACCTCTAAAAGACTCCTAGATTTGATAAATGAATTCAGTAAAGTCTGAAGATACAAAATTGTTGTACAAAAGTCAGTAGCATTTATATAATCAATAAAGTTCAAGCTGAAAACCAAATGAAGAACTCAATCTCATTTACAATAGCTACCAAAAAAAATACCTAGGAATATACTTAACCAAGGGGGTTAAAAATCTCTATAAGGAAAACTACAAAACACTGATGAAAGAAATTGTAGATGACGCAAACAAATGAAAAAGCATCCCATGCTTACAGATCATAAGAATCAATATAGTTAAATGACCGTACTGCCCGAAACAATATACAGATTCGATGCAATCCCAGCAAAATACCAATATCATTTTTCAGGAATTAAAAAAAAGTAAATTCATATGGAACCAAAAAAGAGCCCAAATAGCCAAAGCAATCCTAAGCAAAAAGAACAAATCTGGCGGCATCACATTACCTGACTTCAAATTATACTGCAAGGGTAAGGTAACCAAAACAGCTGGTACTAGTACAAAAATAGACACCTAGATCAGTGGAGTAGAATAGAGAGCACAGAAATAAAGCCACATAACTATAGCCAACTGATCTTTTTACAAAGTTGACAAAAACATACCTGGGAAAAGGGTACCCTGTTCAATAAATAGTGCTGGGAAAATTGGCTAGCCGTATGTTGAAGAATGAAACTGGACTCCTATCTCTAACCATATACAAAAATTAACCAAGATAGATTAAAGACTTATAGACCTAACACTATAAAAATACTAGAACAAAATCTAGGAAAAACTCTCCTGAACAATGGCAAATAATTCATTGCTAAAATCAAATGCAACAAATACAAAAATAGACAAATGGGATTTACTTAAACTAAAAACCTTCTATGCAACAAAAGAAATAATCAAAAGAGTGAACAGACACCCTGAAGAATGGGAGAAAATATTTGCAAACTATACATTTGAAAAATGACTAACATCTGGAATCTATAAGGAATGCAAACAACTCAACAACCACAACAAAATAACCCCATTAAAAAGTGGGCAAAGGACATAAACAGATATTTTGCAAAAGAAGACATACAAAAGGCCAACAAACATAAAAAAATGCTCAGCATCAGTAATCCTCAGAGAAATGCAGGTTAGAACCACAATGAGATACCATCTTATAGTAGTCAGAATGGCTATTATGAAAAACATGAAAAAATAACAGATGTTGGTGAGGGTGCAGAGAAAAGGGAATGCTTACACACTGCTAGTGGGCATGTAAATTAGTACAGCCTCTATGGAAACACAGTATGGAGATTTCTTAAAGGAATAAAAGTAGATCTACCATTCCATCCAGCAATAATCCCACTCTTGGGTATATACCCAAAGGAAAAGAAATCATCATATCAAAAAATACTTGCACCCATACGTCTATCACAGCACTATTCATGATAGCAAAGATATGGAATCAACCTAAGTGTCCATCAACAGATGATTGTATAAAGAAAATGTGTGTATATGTGTGTGTGTGTATATATATATATACACACCACTATATATATATACATATACACACATTTTCTTTGTACACACACACACACACACACACACACACACACACACACACACACACAATGGAATACTATGCAGCCATAAAAAAGAATGAACTCATGTCTTTTGAAGCAACATGGATGGAACTGGAGGCCATTATCTTAAGTGAAACAACTCAGAAACAAAGTTAAATGCCACATGTTCTCACTTATAAGTGGGAGCTAAATAATTTGTATATGTGAACATATGAAATAATACATGTAAAATACTCAGAAGTGTGGAAAGGTGGGAGGGGGTGAGGAATGAAAAATTACTTAATGAGTAAAATGTATATTATTCAGGTGATGGTTACACTAAAATCCCAGACTTCATCACTACACATATAGCTATGTAATAAAATGGCACTTGTACCCTCTAAGTCTATAAAATAAAAATTTAGGGTTCCCTCCCCTTGCCCAAGAGTGTGTTTAAAATCTGGGTGATTTATACAGTGCTACGCCATTTTGATGTAAAGGGTTGGATTCCCATCTGATGTTCAATATCATGTTTCTATGCAGTTTTCCTCTGAGAATGCTGTGACCCCTTTTGGTTCTCTGTTATCAATCTGCAGAGATCACCACTAAAAGAAATATCACCAGCTTCTCTCTGCCTGCCCCCTTCAAGTTGGATGTATTTCTCTTCTTCTTCCTTTTGTTTTATGGACACATAATATATTCTAACCTTTCTGTGTCATACTGAGACATCAAAATCTCCACCAAACTGGCTAAGACCCATTCTTTCTAAACTTATCACACCTGTTTCCTCTCTGAATTCCAGGCTTTCCCCAGAAAGCAAGATACAGGATCCATCTTCCTGGACCAATCCATCCACCTTCTTCTACCTGGGAGTTAGCAAGATCAACCTCTTTCTCTTCCATCCCAAACATTTTGGCTGTGCCTAAGCTTCTCTCCAGTCACCTAAGGGCCTAGGTTTTTTGGAGACAAAGTCAATAAGACTCCTTTGTTTCTATCTTTTATCCTATCCTGTCCCCTGCCTTGAGCAAGGAGCATAGAACTGCCCAAATCATTGAATGGGGTAGGGGTAGGAGGTTGATGAAAAAGTGAAGTACACATACGAAAAAAAAAATGTTAGTATCTCAAAATGTTATCTCCCCACACTTACCACATTTATTGAGTATCCTTCCCTAGTCAGTATTTTTTTAATTGCATCCTACGATTTGCTTTTTGGTTTTGTTGGTTTTGGGATTTTTTTTCCTGCTTACACATCTTTCAATCCAACTCCACTGTTTGTCCTGTGTAAGCTTGGGTGGATTGTCACTCCTCCTTACACCCCATTCTGATGTTGCCACTTTCCTTCACATAAGGAGTCTGGGGTTTTCTGCACAACCCAGCTTCTGCACAAACAGCTTCATTTGTGATTCCTAGCAGATGGACTAATGAGCTAAGGTTGGATCTTCCCTTCCTCAATCTGATCATTTCTTTCATCCCTATCTATTAACTACTATCTGTGTTCCACATGTCTCTACCTGTTTTCATTTTTTCTCTGACTAAATATCCCATAATACAGGACATTTCTTTCATAGTATACCATACAATGCAGTTTTTTCTGAGCCTCTCTTCCTCCTGCAGTGTGTGTCTTTGACATTGTATTTACCTCATGGACTGGAGAAAGAGAACTGCCATTGGAGGGTTGATGGGCTGGGGCACTGTCACAGAGTCTGGGAGAAAGGATTCCAGATCAGTCTGGCTCAGAGGGGAGCAGTGTGTGCATAACTTGCAAAATGACCCTGGATTTTTCTAGTTGTGTGACCCTTCATTATCCTGAGTTGGGTATAAAGGGAAGGGATTGGTTAGAGTTTTTCATCACCTTCCGAGGGACTAGATTAGGTGGAGCACATGGTACATCATCTAGGAAAGTGCTTCTTAATTCTTCCCCCTCAATGATGCAGTTAGTGAAAATTTGGGCCAGACTTTGAACTACATTCTTTTCTTTGTCAGTACCATTGTTAATTTTATTATATTTTCATATTCTTTTGGATTTTCAGTGAAATTTTCATAGCATATCTATTAACCACATCCAATATACCACCCTGCAAACACAGATGTCCCAAAGCTGGAATTTTCACCCATGTACATCTAATTCCAAAGCCCCACATTTTCTGCTACTTCATGGTGCCACCTTAAATGTAGTACATTCAGTTCTGCTCCTTGAATTCATGAGGCTGTTTTAAAATAGATTCTAATACTCTATTTTATCCTTGATTTCTGTTTCCTGAATTCCCTGAAGTTATTCAGTAGGAAAAAATGAGCATTGTATATGTGTGGCCTATTTCTCAAATAACATCAGTGGATGGAAATACTTCCAGACAGAAGCCAGCAAAAGGCATGAGACACATGGAACACAGAACTTTAATAAAAATATGTTTTTATAAATGTTTAATAAAAACATTTTTAAAAAG